>NC_000002.12:49584291-49887321 GCF_000001405.40 Homo sapiens | reverse complement strand
TGGCTTCTGTTGCCATTGCCTTTGGTGATTTAGTCATGAAGTCTTTACCCATGTCTGTGCCCTGAATGGTATTGCCCAGGTTTTCTTCTAGGATTTTTATGGTCCTACGTCTTATGTTTAAGTCTTTGATCTATCTTGAGTTGATTTTTTGTATAAGGTGTAAGGAAGGGGTCCAGTTTCAGTTTTCTACATATGGCTAGCCAATTTTCCCAACACAATTGATTAAATAGGGAATGTTTTCCATTGCTTGTTTGTGTCAGGTTTGTCAAAGATTAGGTAATTGTAGATGTGTAGTGTTATTTCTGAGGCCTCTGTTCTGTTCCATTGGTCTATATATCTGTTTTGGTACCAGTACCATGCTATTTTGGTTACTGTAGCCTTGTAGTATAGTTTGAAGTCAGGTAGTGACTTCAAATGCCTCCAGCTTTGTTCTTCTTGCCCAGGATTGTCTGAGCTATGAGGGCTATTTTTTTGGTTCCATATGAAGTTTAAAGTAGTTTTTTCCAATTCTGTGAAGAAAGTCAGTGGTAGCTTGATGGGGATAGCATTGAATCTATAAATTACTTTGGGCAGTATGGCCTCTTTTCACAATATTGATTCTTCCTATCCATGAGCATGGAATGTTTTTCCATTTGTGTCCTCTGTCATTTCCTTGAGCAGTGGTTTGTAGTTCTCCTTGAAGAGGTCCTTGACATCCCTTGTAAGTTGTATTTCTAGGTATTCTCTTAGTAGCAACTGTGAATGGGAGTTCACTCATTATTTGGCTCTCTGTCTGTAATTGGTGTATAGGAATGCTTGTGATTTTTGCACATTGATTTTGTATCCTGAGACTTTGCTGAAGTTGCTTGTCAGCTTAAGGAGATTTTGGGGCTGAGACGATGGGGTTTTCTAAATATACAATCATGTCATCTGCAAAAAGAGACAATTTGATTTCCTCTCTTCCTATTTGAATATCTTTATTTCTTTCTGTTGCCTGATTGCCCTGGCCAGAACTTCCAATTCTATGTTGAATAGCAGTGGTGAAGGAGGGCATCCTTGTCTTGTGCTGGTTTTCAAAGGGAATGCTTCCAATTTTTGCCCATTCAGTATGATATTGGCTGTGAGTTTGTCATAAATAGCTCTTATTATTTTGATATATGTTCAGTTGATACCTAGTTTATTGAGAGTTTTTAGCATGAAGGAGTGCTGAATTTTGTCAAAGGCCTTTTCTGCATCTGTTGAGATAATCATGTGGTTTTTGTCATTGGTTCTGTTTATGTGATGGATTACATTTGTTGATTTGCATATGTTGAACCAGCCTTGCATCCCAGGTATGAAGCTGACTTGATCGTGATGGATAAGCTGTTTGATGTGCTGCTGGATTCGGTTTGCCAGTATTTTATTGAGGATTTTCACATCGATATTCTTCAGGGATATTGGCCTGAAATTTTATTTTTCTGTTGTGTCTCTGCCAGGTTTTGGTATCAGGATGATGTTGGCCTCATAAAATGAGTTAGGGAGCATTCCCTCTTTTTCTATTGTTTGTAATAGTTTCAGAAGGAAAGGTACCAGCTCCTCTTCGTACCTCTGGTAGAATTTGGCTGTGAATCCGTCTGTCCTGGACTTTTTTTGGTTGCCAGACTATTAATTACTGCCTCAATTTCAGAACTAGTTTTTGGTTTATTCAGGGATTTTACTTCTTCCTGGTTTAGACTTGGGAGGGTGTATGTGTCCAGGAATTTATCCATTTCTTCTAGATTTTCTAGTTTATTTGCATTGAGGTGTTTATAATATTCTGTGATGATAGTTTGTATTTCTGTGGGATCAGTGATGATATCCCCTATATCATTTTTTATTGCGTCTATTTGATTCTTCTTTATTAGTCTTTTCTTCTTTATTAGTCTGGCCAGCAGTCTATCTATTTTGTTGATCTTTTCAAACAACCAGCTCCTGGATTCATTGATTTTTTGAAGGGTTTTTTTGTGTCTCTGTCTCCTTCAGTTCTGATCTGATCTTAGTTATTTCTTGTCTTCTGCTAGCTTTTGAATTTGTTTACTCTTGCTTCTCTAGTTCTTGCAATTTTCATGTTAGGGTGTCAGTTTTAGATCTTTCCTGCTTTCTCTTGTGGACATTTAGTCCTATAAATTTCCCTCTATGCATACTGCTTTAAATGTGTCCCAGAGATTCTGGTACGTTGTGTCTTTGTTCTCATTGGTTTCAAAGAAAATCTTTATTTCTGCCTTCATTTCGTTATTTACCCAGTAATCATTCAGGAGCAGGTTGTTCAGTTTCCATGTAGTTGTGCGGTTTTGAGTGAGTTTCTTAATCCTGAGTTCTAATTTGATTGCACTGTGGTCTGAGAGACTGTTTGTTATGATTTCTGTTCTTTTGCGTTTGCTGAGGAGTGTTTTACTTCCAATTATGTGGTCAATTTCAGAATAAGTGTGATGAGGTGCTGAGAAAAATCTATATTCTGTAGATTTGGGGTGGAGAGTTCTGTAGATGTCTATTAGGTCTGCTTTTTCCACAGCTGAGTTCAAGTCCTGAATATTCTTGTTAATTTTCTGTGTCATTGATCTGTCTAATATTGACTGTGGGGTGTTAAAGTCTCCCACTATTATTGTGTGGAAGTCTAAGTCTCTTTGTAAGTCTCTAAGAACTTGCTTTATGAATCTGGTTGCTCCTGTATTGGGTGCATATATATTTAGGATAGTTAGCTCTTCTTGCTGCATTGATCTCTTTACCATTATATCATGACCTTCTTTGTCTCTTTTGATCTTTGTTGGTTTAAAGTCTGTTTTATCAGAGATTAGTATTGCAACTCCTGCTTTTTTTTTTTGCTTTCCATTTGCTTGGTAAATATTCCTCCATCCCTGTATTTTGAGCCTATGTGTGTACTTTGCATGTGACATGGGTCTCCTGAATATAGCACACTGATGGGTCTTGACTATTTATCAAATTTGCCAGTCTGTGTCTTTTAACTGAGGCACTTAGTCCATTTACATTTAGGGTTAATATTGTTATGTGTGAATTTGATCCTGTCATTGTGATGCTAGCTGGTTGTTTTGCCCATTAGTTGATGCAGTTTCTTCATAGTGTTGCTGTTCTTTACAATTTGGTATGTTTTTGCAGTGGCTGGTACTGGTTGTTCCTTTCCATGTTTAGTCCTTCCTCCAGGAGCTCTTGTGAGGCAGGCCTGGAGATGACAAAATCTCTCAGCATTTGCTTGTCTATAAAGGATTTTATTTCTCCTTTGCTTATGAAGCTTAGTTTGGCTGGATAAGAAATTCTGGGTTGAAAATTCTTTTCTTTAAGAATGTTGAATATTGTCCCCCTCTCTCTTCCGGCTTGTAGGGTTTCTGCCGAGAGATCCGGTGTTAGTCTAATGGGCTTCCCTTTGTGGGTAACCTGACCTTTCTCTGTGGCTGCCCTTAACATTTTTTCCTTCATTTCAACTTTGGTGAATTTAATGATTATGTTTCTTGGGGTTGCTCTTCTTGAGGAGTATCTTTGTGGTGTTCCCTGTATTTCCTGAATTTGAATGTTGGCCTGTCTTGCTAGTTCGGGGAAGTTCTCCTGGATAATATCCTGCAGAGTGTTTTCCAACTTGGTTCCATTCTCCTCATCACTTTCAGATACACCAATGAAAGGTAGATTTGGTCTTTTCACATAGTCCCATATTTCTTCAAAGCTTTGTTCATTCCTTTTCATTCTTTTTTCTCTAATCTTGTCTTCTCTCTTTATTTCATTAAGTTGATCTTCAATCACCGATATCCTTTTTTCTGCTTGATCAATTCGGCTATTGACACTTGTGTAAGCTTCACAAAGTTCTCGTGCTGTGTTTTTTGCTCCATCAGGTCATTATATTCTTCTCTACACTGGTTATTCTAGTTAGCAATTCGTCTAACCTTTTTTCAAGGTTCTTAGCTTCCTTGCATTGGGTTAGAATGTGCTCTTTTTGCTTTGAGGAGTTTGTTATTACCCACCTTCTGAAGCCTACTTCTGTCAATTCGTCAAACTCATTTTCCGTCCAGTTTTGTTCCCTTGCTAGCAAGGAGTTGTGATCCTTTGGAAGACAAGGGGCATTCTGGTTTTAGGAATTTTCAGTCTTGTTGTGCTGTTTTCCCACTACCTTTGTGGATTTACCTACATTTGGTCTTCGATGTTGGTGACCTTCGGATGGGGTCTTTGAGTGGACATGCTATTCCTTTCTGTTTGTTAGTTTTCCATCTGATAGTCAGTCCTCCCTGCTGCCGGTCTGCTAGAGTTTGCTGGAGGTCCACTCTGGACCCTGTTTGGGTATCACCAGCGGACGCTGCAGAACAGCGGAACAGCAAAGATTGCTGCCTGATCTTTCCTCTGGAAGCTTCATCCCAGAGGGGCACCTGCTTGATGTCAGCCAGAGCTCTCCTGTATGAGGTATCTGTTGGCTCCACTGGGAGGTGTCTCCTAGTCAGGATACACGGGGGTCAGAGATCCACTTGAGGAGGCAGTCTGACCCTTAGCAGAGCTTGAAGGTTGTGCTGTGAGGTCCGCTGCTCTCTCTTCAGAGCCATCAGGCAGGGATATTTAAGTCTGGTGAAGCTGCACCCACAGCTGCCCCTTTCTGCAGGTGCTGTGTCCCAGAGAGATGGGGGTTTTATCTGTAAGTCCCTGACTGGGGCTGCTGCCTTTTTTTCAGGGATGCCCTGCTGAAAGAAGAGAAATCTGGCAGTCTGACCACAGCAGCCTTGCTGAGCTGCAATGGTCTCTACCCAGTTCAAACTTCCCAGTGGCCTTGTTTACACTGTGAGCATAAAACCACCTACTCAAGCCTCAGCAATGGCAGACATCCCTCCCTCCACCAAGCTTGAGCATCCCAGGTGGATCTTAGACTGCTGCTGTGCTGGCAGCGAGAATTTCAAGCCAGTGGATCTTAGTTTGCTGGGCTCCATGGGGGTGGGACCCGCCATGCCAGACCACTTGGCTCCCTGGCTTCAGCACCCCTTTCCAGGAGAGGGAACAGTTCTGTCTCGCTGGCATTCCGGGCACCAATGGGGTATGGAAAAAAAGAACTCCTGCAGCTAGTTTGGTGTCTGCCCAAATGGCCACGCAGTTTTATGCTTGAAACCCAGGGCCCTGGTGGGGTAGGCACTGGAGGGAATCTCCTGGTTTGTGGGTTGCGAAGACCATGGGACAAGTGCAGTATGTGTGCTGGACTTCCTCTGGCTCAATCCCTCACGGCTTCAGTTGGGTAGGGAAGAAAGTTCCCTGACCTCATGCTCTTCCCGGGTGAGGTGATGCCCCACCCTGCTTCAGCTCACCCTCCATGGGCTGCACCCACTGTCCAACCATTCCCAGTGAGATGGATTGGGTACCTCAGGTGGAAATGCAGAAATCACCCACCTTTTGCGTTGATCTCGCTGGGAGCTGTAGACCAGAGCTATTCCTATTCAGCCATCTTGCCAGCAACCCAGAATTTTTATATGTATAAAGTATTGAATAATTGTAATTAAACCATGATAATTTAAAAGGGTGTCTTGGAAGCCTTAAAACAATCACTGAAAGAACAGGAAAAATAGGTACAGTCAGCTCTTTGTATTCATGGGTTCTGCATTTGTGAATTCAATCAACCATGGATCAAAAATATTTGAAAAAGAATTGCATCTGTACCGAACATGAACATGTATAGACTTTTAAATGTTGTCATTATATCTTACATGATTAAGGATAACAACTATTTACATAGCATTTACATTGCCTTAGGTGTTATAAATAATCTAGAAATGATTCAATGTATACAGGAGGGTGTGCATATGTTATATGTAAATACTGCACTAGCCATTTTATAACAGTAAGTTGAGCATCCAAGGAATTTGGAATCTTTAAGAGCTCAGTGAAATAATTATAAATACTAATTTAACATATAGGGAAGAAAAAAACCACAAAATCATAATAGATATAAACCTATCTATATGAATAATAAAATTTTATGCAAATGCCCTAACACACCCATTGAAAGACAGGGAATATAAAACTGGATTTAAAAAAATCAAGATCCAATTTTCTATTGGCTGGAAGAAAACCACTTTAAATATTGGGACACAGATACATTAATTGTTAAAGGGTAAAAAATATATTATGCAAATACAAAGGAAAACTGGAATCAGTATATTAATATCAGACAAGGTAGATTTTAGAATAAGGCATGTTAGCATGAATATAGAAGAAAATTTTATAGTAAACAAAGTTGATCAAGCAGATAAAACCATCATCCATCAAGTGGATCATCCATCATCAAGTGGATCATCCAACATCGAGTGGATAAAAGAATCTGAAAATATATACATACATGTATACACACACATAATATCATAACTTCAAAGTACATTAAACAAATCTGATAAACTTAAGAACGTATAGAAACAACCACAATTATAATTGGAGGTTTCAACAATCATTTATCAATAATCGATACAAAAATAGACAAAAAGTCAGTAAATTTATAAAATACATAAACATCCCCTTCAATTCACTTTGTAAATGCCTAACAGATTCTTCTTGTCTGCTGCCCAGATAGAGCCAATTTACTGAGATAGGGGAATTGGAATAGAGAAATAGTGTAATACGTGCAGAGCTGGCTAAACCGTCCAAGTATTATTACTCAAATCAGTCTCCCTAAAAATTCAGAAACTAAGGTTTTTCAAGGATAATTTGTCAGGCTGGAGGCTAGAGAGTGGGAAACACAGATTGGTCAGGTTGGGGATAAAAATCACAGGGTGTTGACGTGGGTTCTTCTTGCTATTTTCTGTTCCTGGGTGGGAGAGCAGAAATAGTTAAACCAGATTACCAGTTTGGGTGGCATAAACTGGTACATGAGCATGCAGGGTCTGAAAAATATCTTGAACACCAATGTTAGGTTTTACAATAGTGATGCTATCCAGAGGAGCAATGGAGGAGGTTAGGAGTCTTGTGGTCTCTGGCTGCATGACTCCTGAGTCATAATTTCTAATCTTGTAGCTAATTTGTTAGTTTTACAAAGGCTGTCTGGTCCCCAGGCAAAGAGGAGCTTTGTTTTGGGAAAGGGCTGTTATCATCTTTGTTTCAAAGTTAAACTTTGAACTAAATTCCTTCTATACTTAGCTGGTGTATGCCCAGAAGTGCCCAAGGGCAGCTTGGAGCGTAAAGGCAAGATGGGGTATGTTAGGTCAGATCTCTTTCATTGTCATAATTTTTGCAAAGGTGGTTTCAACTTCAGCTAAGTAAAATCTATGGAACACTTTACCGTAAAATAAAACATTGAAAAATATTCATTTTTAAACGTGCATATGGAACAATCATCAAGATAACCTATATTCTGAGACAATAAAAAAATGAGTTTTGAAACTGCCTTTGCAAAAGTTGTAACAGTAAGAAAAGTATGACAGTGAAAGAGATGCGACCTAACCAACTCCATCTTGTTTCTAAACCTTTAAGCTGCCCTTTTTCTTTCCTGGGCATGGGCTGAACTAACATTGGAAGGAATTTAATATACAGTTTAACTTTCAACAAAGATAACTTTCAACAAACTTTGTTTGTTTCAAACAAACAAAGTTTAACTTTCAAACAAAGATGATAACAGCCCTTTCCCAAAACGAACCTCTCTCTTGCCTGTGGAAGAGACTGCCTTTTAAAACTAACAAATTTGCCACAAGATTAGAAATTATGGTTTAGGAGTCATTCAGCCAGAGGCCACAAGATTCCTAATCTCCTTGCCCGATTGCTCCTAGGGATAACATCACTATTTTAAAACCTAAAATTGATGTTCAAGATATTTTTCAGACCCTTGTTTTTGTTTGTTTGTTTGTTTTGTGGGAGACCATAGCTATATTATTACTCAAGTCAGTCTCCCCAAACATTTGGAAATCAGAGTTTTTGTTTGTTTGTTTGTTTCAATTTGAGAGCAGGTACTGCTTATTAACCAACCAGCTTAGAAAAATAATCATGGTAGACACCTTAGTTCACTCTTCTAATAAGCCTGTTGATCTGGTCCTCCCTGTTGCCAGCATCTCCACCTTCTGCAAAATGGGTGGCCTTCATTCCATCTCATGGAGAAGATAATTTGAATGGCCGCAGGAAGTTATTTTCTTTGAAGTGTTTTCCAACAGTATAGATCTCATGAATCAGATCTCCATGCAGATGATGTCATATTTATCAAGAGATCGAGCAATCAAAGCGTTATCTGTCAAAGCATTTCGCTTCTTATTGATTTTGCCATAACCATGCTTGCAGATTAGTTCATTTACTGACTTCAGATTTGAGTACCCCCATGCAATGTATGGGTCTACAATCCTCAGCATGTTAATTGAAGCCTTTCTGAGTTTCACAAAGATTCCATTGAAGATTTGATAAAGGCGTAGAAGCTGCAACACCTTTCGGACATTTGGGCTCACACCATTGACACCTCTGGTCCTGATGACAAACGCCAATTTGGGTTCTGAAGATACATAGAAGTTGCCAGCTTTTCTTGCCATCCTCGCCATTCGAATTTCAGATCTGTACATCTGCCTATATTCCTCGTGAAAGTGCTTCGCTTTTTCATAGATAAGCTTCCTCCTTGCCTTTCGAAACATCTTCTGGACAAACTTCTTTCTCAGGTGCTTGATCTTCAGTTCTGTGAAATTCCTTCACTTTTTCTTAAGGGTTTCTGGCACAGCAGGAACCTTCTTCTTCTTCTCTTCTACACCCTCCATTGTTCCAGCCAGAAAAAGAGTGGATATCAAAGTTTTTAAGGACAACTTGGTGGGTGGACGGAGGTCAGTGAGCTAGGAGTGCTGATTAGTCAGGTCAGAGTTGAAACCACAGGGAGTCGAAGTTGTCTTCTTGCTCTGAGTCAATTCCTGGGTGGGGGCCACAAGATCAGATGAACCAGTTTATTGATCTGGGTGGTGCCAGCTGATCCATTAAATGCAGGGTCTGCAAAATATCTCAAGCACTGGTCTGAAGTTTTGCAATAGTGATTTTATGCCCAGGAGCAATTTGGGGAAGGTCAGAGCCTTGTATCCTCCAGCTGCATGACTCCTAAACCGTAATTTCTAATCTTGTGGCTAAGTTTTTTTTTTTTTTTTTGAGATGGAGTTTTGCTCTTGTTGCCCAGGCTGGAGTACAATGGTGTGATCTCGGCTCACTGCAACCTCCGCCTCCTGGGTTCAAGTGACTCTCCTACCTCAGCCCCCTGAGTAGCTGGGACTACAGGCATGCGCCACCACGCCCGGCTAATTTTGTATTTTTAGCAGAGATGGGGTTTCTCCATGTTGGTCGGGCTTGTCTTGAACACCTGACCGCAGGTGATCCGCCTGCCTCGGCCTCCCAAAGTGCTGGGATTACAGGTGTGAGCCACCGTGCCGGGCCTCTTGTGGGTAATTTTTGAGTCCTACAAAGACAGTCTAGTACCCAGGCAAGAAGGGAGTTTGTTTCAGGAAAGGGCTGTTTTCATCTTTGTTTTAAACGGTAAACTAAATTCCTCCCAAAGTTAGTTCAGCCTGCGTTCAGGAAGAGGAGGTTAGAAGTAAGATGGAGTTGGTTAGGTCAGATCTCTTTGACTGTCTCAGTTACAATTTTGCAATGGTGGTTTCAATTCCTCCCTTTGGGTTTTGTAACACCTTAAACTTAAGGTGTCGGCTAATGAAGATGGAGAAAGGGCAAAGACAGCTCTAACTTTTTCCTGCCGATCAAGGGTATAGTGGGGGTAGGTGTTGATCCTAAGATGAGAGGAATGGAACCGTTTTGCAACTGTCAACGTACTCATGCAGGCCTGGCTGGGGCTCCAAGGCTTGCATGGCAAAAGCGTTAGTATTATCATCTAAAGTTATAGTACCGTATTTAAGGGAACAGTGTACTATAAGGTAAATAATGAGTACTAGGGTAAGGAGTGCAATTCCCAGTTTTAAAAGTAAAGATTTGAAAGCATTAGTTTGGGGACTTGTAGCCCACAAAGAATTTAGGATTTAGTCCAAACTGCACAAAAAATCCAAGGACAGCTAACAACAGGTGTACGATAGATTTTTTTTTTAAGCATAATTTTTCTCTCTCCAGTCACCATTTTTATTAAAAACAAATCATGATAGGATCAATTTGTTTGCAAAATAAACTTTAGTCTTATTATACTTGGCCTGATTGTCTGCATGAAGTACAAGAAGAATAATTATTTCTTACATAGGCTTTTAAAATTTGCTTTGATGAAACTCTTTTCCATAAGAAATCTCAGATAAGACTTTTTTAAAGCTGAGTCCAGCCATGGGTTTGTACCCTCAAATACCTATGAGTTTGGTAAATTCCTCTCCTCTTGACCTCCCAAGATAACTTGGGGCTCCTGGGACTGTTAGACCCTGTATTCTGATGTACCAGCTGGCACTACCCAGACCAGTAATCTGGCTCAGCCAGCTCTGCGATCCCACCCAGGAACAAAAGACAGTGAGATGAACCCTATTTGATCTCCTGTGATTTAATCTCTGACCCAACCAATCAGCACTCCCAACTCTCTGGCCCCCTACCCACCAAATTATCCTTAAGAAACTCCAGCCTGTAAATTTGTTTGAGTTCATTGTAGATTCTGGATATTATCCCTTTGTCAGATGAGTAGGTTGTGAAAATTTTCTCCCATTTTGTAGGTTGCCTGTTCACTCTGATGGTAGTTTCTTTTGCTGTGCAGAAGCTCTTTAGTTTAATTAGATCCCATTTGTCAATTTTGGCTTTTGTTGCCATTGCTTTTGGTGTTTTAGACATGAAGCCCTTGCCCATGCCTATCTCCTGAATGGTAATGCCTAGGTTTTCTTCTAGGGTTTTTATGGTTTTAGGTCTAATGTTTAAGTCTTTAATCCATCTTGAATTAATTTTTGTATAAGATGTAAGGAAGGGATCCAGTTTCAGCTTTCTACATATGGCTAGCCAGTTTTCCCAGCACCATTTATTAAATAGGGAATCCTTTCCCCATTGCTTGTTTTTCTTAGGTTTGTCAAAGATCAGATAGTTGTAGATATGTGATGTTATTTCTGAGGACTCTGTTCTGTTCCATTGACGTATATCTCTGTTTTGGTACCAGTATCTCTGTTTTGGTACCAGTACCATGCTGTTTTGGTTACTGTAGCCTTGTAGTATAGTTTGAAGTCAGGTAGCGTGATGCCTCCAGCTTTGTTCTTTTGGCTTAGGATTGACTTGGAGATGCGGGCTCTTTTTTGGTTCCATATGAACTTTAAAGTAGTTTTTTCCAATTCCGTGAAGAAAGTCATTGGTAGCTTGATGGGGATGGCATTGAATCTATAAATTACCTTGGGCAGTATGGCCATTTTCATGATATTGATTCTTCCTACCCATGAGCATGGAATGTTCTTCCATTTGTTTGTATCCTCTTTTATTTCATTGAGCAGTGGTTTGTAGTTCTCCTTGAAGAGGTCCTTCATGTCCCTTGTAAGTTGGATTCCTAGGTATTTTATGGGGCAGAGGATATGAACAGACACTTCTCAAAAGAAGACATTTATGCAGCCAAAAAACACATGAAAAAATGCTCACCATCATTGGCCATCAGAGAAATGCAAATCAAAACCACAATGAGATACCATCTCACACCAGTTAGAATGGCAATCATTAAAAAGTCAGGAAACAACAGGTGCTGGAGAGGATGTGGAGAAATAGGAATACTTTTACACTGTTGGTGGGACTGTAAACTAGTTCAACCATTGTGGAAGTCAGTGTGGCGATTCCTCAGGGATCTAGAACTAGAAATACCATTTGACCCAGCCATCCCATTACTGGGTATATACCCAAAGGACTATAAATCATGCTGCTATAAAGACACATGCACACGTATGTTTATTGCGGCACTATTCACAACAGCAAAGACTTGGAACCAACCCAAATGTCCAACAATGATAGACTGGATTAAGAAAATGTGGCACATATACACCATGGAATACTATGCAGCCATAAAATATGATGAGTTCATGTCCTTTGTAGGGACATGGATGAAATTGGAAATCATCATTCTCAGTAAACTATCACAAGAACAAAAAACCAAACACCGCATATTCTCACTCATAGGTGGGAATTGAACAATGAGAACACAGGGACACAGGAAGGGGAACATCACACTCTGGGGACAGTTGTGGGGTCGGGGGAGGGGGGAGGGATAGCTTTAGGAGATATACCTAATGCTAAATGATGAGTTAATGGGTGCAGCACACCAGCATGGCACGTGTATACATATGTAACTAACCTGCACATTGTGCACATGTACCCTAAAACTTAAAGTATAATAATAATAAAATAAAAAAAAGAAAGGTAATAAAAATTCTACACTTAAAAAAAAAAAAAAAAGAAACTCCAGGCTGATTTTAATAATAAAACTCTGGTTTCCTGTTCAGCCAGCTTTGCATGAATTAAACTCTTTCTCTATTGCAATTCCCCTGTCTTGATAAATCGGCTCTATGTGGACAGTGGGCAAGGAGAGCTCATTGGGTGGTTACAGTTTTAATATATGTAAAAATGTTAAAATCATGTAATATACCTTCTCTTAAACAATAAAATTAAAATAGAAACCCCACTAGGACAACTGAAAAATTTATTTGGAAATTAAAAATCACAATTCTAAATGACCCTTGAATGAAAGAATGAAAAGTTAGAAATTGTTTTGAATTGAATAAAAATGAAACTAACATATCAAAATTTATGAGATGTGAGTCATGTAGTGCTGACAGAAAATTATGGAACTCACTGCTTCTATTCTAAAAGAAAAAAATAGAAAAAAGAGAGAAAATTAAACTTATACTAAACATAAGAAGGAAAAATTTTAATTAATTAATTAATTTATTTATTTATTTTGAGACTGAGTTTCACTCTAGTCGCCCAGGCTGGAGTGCAGTGGCAGAATCTTGGCTCACTGCAACCTCCACCTCCTGGGTTCAGGTGATTCTCCTGCCTCAGCCTCCTGAGTAGCTGGAATTACAGGCACCCACCGCCATGCCCAGCTAATTTTTAAAATATTATTAGTAGAGATGAGGTTTCACCATGTTAGCCAGGCTGTTCTCGAACTCCTGACCACTAGCCTCGGCCTCCCAAAGTGCTGGGATTACAGGCATGAGGGAAAAATTTTAAATAATAGAAGTCAATGAACTAGAAAACAAGCAAAAATATAGAAAAAATAAATCTATTGTATTAATTTCCTATTACTGCTGTAACAAATTACCACAACCTTAGTAGTTTAAAGCAACAGAAATTTATTATCTTACAATTTTGGAGCTCTGAATTCCTTCTAGTCTGAAAACTGAGGTGTTAACAGAGCTGCATTCTTTCTTGAGGCTCTAAGGGAGAATCACGGCCTTTTCCATCTTCTTGTAGTGGCCTACATTCCTTGGCCAATGACTCCTAATTTCTACATTCAAACCTAGTAGCATAGCATCTTCTCTACTCTCTAATCTCTGCTTCTTTCATCCCATCTCCTTCCTTGATTCTTACCCTTCTGCCTCTTTCTTATAAGGACCCTGTGGTTATATTGAACCTGCCCAAATAACTCAGGATAATCCTGTCATCTCAATTCCTTAACTTGATCACATCAGCAAATTCCTCTTTGCCATGTAAAGTAAAATAACATATTCACAAATTCTGGGGATTAGGATGTGAATATCTTGGAGAGACTATAATTCAGCCTACCACAGATACCAGAACCTGGTTCTTTGAAACAACAATAGAACTGCTAAAACTTTAATCAAACTGATATGGGAAAATATAAACAATTCATATATACCTATATCAAGAATGAAAGAAGAGTGACAACTGCAGCTCTTATAGGCATTAAATAGATAAAGAGGGACTACAGTGAACAAATTTCTATCAATAATTTTGTCTATTTAGATTAAATATATAAATTCTCAGCAAAATGAAAGTTAACTCAATCAGAATAGATAAATGAATAGCTCTATATCTATTAAAGCAATTTACTTTGTAGTTAAAACCTTCCCACAAAGAAAAACCCTACTCCTAGATGGCTTCACTGGTAAATTCTACTGAACATTTATAGAAAAATGATACCAGTTCTACACAAACTACCGTTAAAAAAGAAAAAAAAAGAAAAAAGCCCAGGTGCAGTGGCTCACGTCTGTAATCTCAGCACTTTGGGAGGCCGAGGTGGGCGGATCACCTGAGGTCAGGGGTTTGAGACCAGCCTGGCCAACATGGAGAAACACCTTCTCTACTAAAAATGCAAAAATTAGCCAGGTGTGGTGGTGCATGCCTGCAGTCCCAGCTACTCAGGAGGCAGGAAAATCGCTTGACCCCAGAGGCAGAGGTTGCAGTGAGCTGAGATTGCGCCACCGTACTCCAGCCTGGATGACAGGAGGAGACTCCATTAAAAAAAAAAAAAGTAATTAAAAAGAAAAGAAATAACTTCTGATTTTACTACAGGAGACAGCAGTGACTGATATAAAAACTAGACAAATACATAAATACATCATTAAAATGACCAACATTCCTCATTAACACAGATGAAAAATTTCTTAAAACTTCAACAAATAAGATCTAGCATTATAAGAAAGGGCTAATGCATCCTCACCAAGTGTTTTCTTCCCAGAAATGCAATAGTGGTTCAACATTCAAAAATTAATCATTTGTAATTCACCATAGTAAGAGACTAAAGAAAAAAAATCTATGGTCATTTCAATAGATTCAGAAAAAGCATTTGAAGAAAGTCAATATGCATCCATGATAAAACTCAGGAAATTAGAAGTAGAATCAATAAAGGAAACCTATTAAAAACTTACAGCTAATGCCATGCTAAAATTCAGAACAAGGTATGGTTGTTCATTCTCACTAATCCCATTCAATATTTTATTGGAAATCTGAGCCAATGTAGTAAGTCAAGAATAAGAAATAAAATGTATACAAATTGAAAAAATTGAAAAATACATTATATTGCTTCACAGACAAAATGATTGTTTTGTAAAAAAAATCTCAACAAAAATATACAAAATATTTTAGAAATAAAATAAAAACGTGCAAGACTTGTATACAGAAAAATGACAAAATATTGCTAAAAGATCAAAGAATATATACATAAATGGAGAACTATGTCATATCCATAGATGAAAGACTTAAAATTCCTATTGACAATTAAACAGTCATAAAATTAAACAAAAACTATTCAAAAAATAAATCATTGAATAAAATGAATTCAATCACTTGGAAATTAAAATATATGTATTTCTAAGTAACTTTTGAGTCAACTTAGCATTCATCTTAAGAAGTTAGATAAAGAAAAAAAAATCACCACATAGCATAAGTAAAAATAAAAATAAAGAGCAGACATAATTAAGACAAAAAGCAAAATTATAATACAGAGCGTAACTTCAACCAAAAGTTGGTTCTTTGATAGGGCTATTAAAATTAATTAAAAATATATATAGGGAAAATAAGAAAAGAGGGAGAGGGGACAAAAACCAAAGAATATTAAAGTGAAAATGGTAACAGAACTACATATGCTAAAGAGATTTTTGGAAAAACAATGTATTAAGAGGACATTATGAATAGCTTTGTGCTAGTAAAAGTGAAAACCTTGATAAGGAGAGAATGAGAATGCAAAAAAGTCCTAAAAAAAGTTATATGAAATTCAGACCATGCAGGAAAATCATAATATAACAAAATATGCTTATTCCAGGAATTTGTTTAGTTTAATATTAGAAAATCTATTGATTATATGAATGTGTGGATATATTAAAGAGAAAAATTAATTTTCTGAATGCACAGAGAAATGTAATCAATTAAAAATTAAATCCTTTTATGAATAAAAATTGTTATCTTGATAAGAAGTAATTTCAACATATGTAGAGTAAGAATTATTTTCATGGTAAATAATTTTAAAAATACATAACAAATACATAAGAAACATTTTTAAATATTAGGTGTAATAAAAATGCTTACTGTCCCCATGGTTAATAGTGTACTAAAAGTTGTACTCAGAAAAATAAAGATAAAAAGGCAATAAAAATAAATAAATAGGCCAGGCGCAGTGGCTTATGCCTGTAATCCCAGAACTTTGGGAGGCCGAGGTGGGTGGATCACCTAAGGTCAGGAGTTTGAGACCAGCCTGGCCAACATGGTGAAACCCCGTCTCTACTAAAAATACAAAAATGAGCCGGGTGTGGAGGCATGCGCCTGTAATCTCAGCTACTCAGGAGGCTGAGGCAGGAGAATCGCTTGAACCTGGGAGACAAAGGTTGCAGTGAGCTGAAATCGCACCATTGGACCCCAGTCTCTGGGCAACAAGAGCAAAACTCCATCTCAAAATAATAATAATAATAATGATAATAAATAAATAAATGAATAATACATAAGGGCTGGAAAGAAACTTATTTAGTAATAGTCCACATAGAACATCTCAGAAACTCCATAAGGGAGTTAACATAATAAAAGATGTAACAATGTTGCTGGACATGAGATGCATAATCAAAACTTAATTGCATTTCTGTTTATGAGTAAGAAAGCATTTGAAATATAATTTGATGTTAATATTATTTACAATAATAATATTTATTTTGTTCCTAAGAAAATATACTACAAAATATAATTATAATCTCTGTGGAGAAAATAATAAAATTTAATCAAAAGACTAAAAACAAAAGAGTAAAGGTGACTTAAGCGGAGGTGCAGTTGCTTAAAGATTTAAAAGAAAATAAACTTCAAGCATTAATTGAACACAATTTGTATCAAAATCTCATAGAATTTGAGAGAGAATTCCAGAACATATAAAATACATTTTATTACAATACTAAATAATATTGTAATAAGAGAATATTATATAAAATAGTACTTAAAGATGCTAAATATTTAAAACAACTGAAACTAGTGAAGACCCTATTGAATAAAAAAAAAGATGAGTAAACTAACTATTAAGGTTTATTTTCTGGTATAATACACAAACAAACACACAAAGTAAAATAGCAAGTTGTAAAGTGGTATTGGCAGTGATCCATAAATAGCCCAATGGGTCAGGATAGAGAACCCAGAAACAGACACATTTATATCTTATATCTTAAGATTTGATATATGACAAGGGACAAACTCACCTTTCAGAGGAGAGAAATATTCAAATTCAATAAGTGATGCTGAAACAACAGGTTATCTATTGAAAAGGAAAGAAACTGGATTCCTTTGCCACATCCTACATGAAACGAATTTCCGATGAAACTTAAATGTGAAAGGCAATATGAAACCTGTTAGAAAAAAACAGTTAGGAAGAGAAGTCAGGCACCTCGTTGTCCACCTGTCTGATCCCATACCTAATGCCATCCTCACTCAGGTCTGGAATGACTTCTCTCTACCTCTTCGCCTAGCTAAATCCTCTCAGTTTCAAGGCCCAGCTGAAGTTCCCTCTCACCCACAAATCCTTCCCAAATTCTTTGGCTATAGTTTTATTATATGTATCACCTATTTTTGCATAATTAAATGTTTTATATTTTTCAAAAAAAAAAAAAAAAAAGAAAAAAACAGTTAGGAAAATACCTTAATGACGTCTTAGTAGGAAATTTAACAGGACTTAGAAGTTCACATGCCGAAAGAAAAGACCAATAAATTAAACAATATTCAAATGTAGAACTTCTGTTAGTCAGAAAACATTATAAACAAAAGGCTATAAGAAGCCTCGAGGGTGGTTTTTCTCACATAGCATCATCAACAACGCAACAGCCAGCTTTCATCCATTGCTTGTGCTGTCCAGACAGAGTTCTAAGGCCTTCTTTACCCATATCTCATTTACTCCTCCCAGGCTGTCTAAGAGATAGGTACAGGCATAAGCCATTTTCTTGAACTTTGCAGATACTGTTCTTTACAAATTGAAGGTTTGTGGTGATTCTGCATTGACCAAGTCTATTGGTGCCATTTTTCCAACAACATGTGTTCACTTTGTGACTGGGTCACATTTTGGTAACTCTCACAACATTTCAATTTTTTTGTTGTATCTGTTACAGTGATCCATGATCAATGATCTCTGACGTTACATTTATAATTGTTTTGGAGCACCACAAAGTGTGCCCTTATAAGATGGCAAACTTAATCAATAACTGTTGTGTGTGTTCTGACTGCTCCAGTGATGGGCAGTTCTCATCTCCATCTCCTTCAGCTTCCCTATTCCCTGAAACACAAAAATGTTGAAATTAGGCCAATTAATAACTTTACCTTAGTTTCTAAATGTTCAACTGAAAGTAACAGTCACACATCTCTCACTTTAAATCAAAAGCTAGACATGATTAAGCTTATCAAGGAAAGCATGTCAAAAGCCTAGATAGGCCACAATCTAGGCCTCTTGAGCCAAACAGTTAGCCAAGTTGTAAATGCAAAGGAACAGTTCTTGAAGGAAATTAAAAGTGCTACTCCAATGAGCAAATGATAAGAAATTGAAACAGCCTTATTGCTGATAGGGAGAAAGTTTTAGCAGTCTAGATACAAGATCAAATCAGCCACAGTATTCCCTTAGACATTTATGCCTAGTGTTCCATTATTGGAATGCTAAGCCTGAGGGAATTATTTATATCCTACTGCTCAAGGTCATCACCAAAGTCTGATTGCAAAAATTCAAAAAAAATTACAAACTCAGGCATAAAAGGGTTTAAGCCAAAGCCTAAGTTAGAGCAACGTCCTAACTCTCCTCCATTCTATGAAGGCTGAGAGAGGCAAGGGAGTTGCAAAAGGAAAGTTTGAAGCTAGTAGAGGTTGGTTCATGAGGTTTCAGGAAAGAAGCCATCTCCATAACATAAAAATACAAAGTGAAGCAGCAAGTGCAGATACAGAAGCCGCAGCAAGTAATCCAGAAGATCTACTTAAAATAATTGATGGAAGTGGCTGCACTAAACAATAGATTTTAAATGTAGACAAACAGCCTCTGTTGGATGTACATGCTTTCAGGGAATTTCCTAGTTAGAGAGAAAATGTCAATGCATGGCTTCAAAGGATCAAAAGACAGTCTGACTCTGTCGTTAGGGGTTAATGCCACTGGTGATTTTAAGTTGAAGCCAATGCTCATTTACCATTCCAGAGCTCTAGGGTCCGTAAGAATTATGCTGTATAGACTCTGCCTGTGCTATATAAATGGAACAATAAAAGCCTGGATGACAGCATTGTTTACAGCATGGTTTATTGACTATTTTAAGGCCACTGTTGAGACCTACTGCTAAAAAAAAATACCCTTTAAAATATTATTGCTCAATGTACCTAGTCATCCAAGAACTCTGATAGAGATGTACAAGGATATTAATGTTGTTTTCATGTCTGCTAACCATCCTGCAGCCCATGAATTAATGAGTAATTTTGATTTTCAAGTCTTATTATTTTTAAAATGTACATTTCATAAGGCTATAGCTGCCATACATAATGATTGTTCTTATGGATATGGGCAAAGTAAACCAAAAATCTTCTGGAAAGGACTCTTCATTCTAGGTGCCATTAAAAACATTCGTGATTCATGGGAGGAAGTCAAAGTATAAACATTAACAGGAGTTTGGAAGAAGATGATTCCAACCCTCATGGATGACTTTGAGGGCTTGAAGACTTCAGTGGAGGAAATAACTGCAGATGTGGTGGAGATAACAAGAGAACTAGAATTAGGAGTGGAGCCCAAGGATGTGATTGAATTTCAGCAATCTCACGACAAAACTTGAACAAATAAGGAGTTGGTTCTTATGGATGTGCACAGAAAGTGGCTTCTTGAAATGGAATCTATTCCTGGTGAAGATGCTAGAAACATTGTTGAAATGACATAAATGGATTTAGAATATTACATAAACATAGTTGATAAAGCAACAGCAGGGTTTGAGAAGATTGACTCCAATTTTGAAAGAAGTTCTGCTGTGGACAAAATGCTGTCAAACAGCATTGCATGCTACAGAAAAAAATCTTTCCTGCAAGGAAGATTCAATCAATGCAGCAAACTTTATTGTCTTATTTTAAGAGATTGCCACAGCCACCTCCACCTTCAGCAGCCAACACCCTGATCAGTCAGCAGTCATTAACATTGAAGCAAGACCCTCCACCAGCAAAAATGATTACAACTTGCTGAAAGGTCAAATGATTGTTAGGATTTGTTTAGCAATAACGTATTTTTAAATTAAGATATGTGTATTGTACGTATTTTTTTCAGACGTTCTGCCACTGCACACTTAGCAGACCACAGTATTGTGAAAACATAACTTTTATGTGCACTGGGAAACCAAATAATTTGTATGAGTCACTTTCTAGCAATATTTGCTTTCTTTTGATGCTCTGGGGATGAACCTGCAGTATCTCTGCGGTAGGCCTAAACTACTATTATTCCCAATTTAAACTGAATAAACTGAATGTCAGAAATAAAATAGCTCGCCCGAAGTCACACTGGTGATGGAACTGCGGTTCAAATCCATGTTGACTACTTTGAAAATACATTGCCTTTTATAAATAATCAGAATCCTCACCAAAAGTAAGTACAACATTGAAAAATATATTGTTTAGAGATACAGACAATTCATGTTAAAATATTAAAAAATCAAATACAGTCACACACACACACACACACACACACACCCCTAAAAGAACACATAGGTCAAAGAAGATAATGTAATGGATGTTATAACATATATGGAAGTAAATGTTAAAAAATACTGCATATTGAAATTTGTGGAATATATGTAAAGTAATTAGAAATTTACAGCCTCAAATTCCTCAAAAAATAAATGTATTTGACAAAAAGTCCTAAAAATTGTAACAAAAAATAGAAAAAATATGCAAACAACATGTAGAAGAATAGCTCATAAGAGTCATAGTTAGTAAACATGAAAAGTTATTCAAACTCATTAATAGTCATGGAATTACAAACAAAAATCTCAATCATATACCATATGCAATACAGATTTGACAAAGGTTAAAATATTGGTAAAAAACCCAAGTTAGTGAGTATATGAAGTAACAGTAATTTATATACACAGCTTTTAAGAGCATTAACTACTGCATTCACCCACAAAATATGTATTACGATCTAGTAAATTCAGTGCTGCAAATATATTATGGTCTAACCATTCTACTTCAAGTCATAATTGCAAAATAAAATTTCACATACATGCACCAGGAGAATGGATAATCGTGTTTATAGCAACATAATTTGGAGGAACAAACAAAGCAGAAACAAAAGAAAAACAGAAAATATACCTTTTGAATTATACATATAATGCATAGTTTTGCATAATCGTGAAAAATTAGTGTATCCCAACTGCACACCTCAACATCAAAGTCTAATGCTGCATAGTAATTCATACAGTAGGCTTTCATTTCTATAATGTTCAAAATGTATAAAAGTAAACAACATATTATTTAGGGATGCATAAGTATTTAGTTAAACTGCAAAGTATCAGCACAGTGGTTACTTCAGAGTGAAGAGGGAGAGGGAAATGGTAGAGGGCTGGATGATGGTTACACTGATGTTAATTTCATCATCATTACTTTAAACAGTATGTATTCATTTGTATATTCAGCTTCACTCTATAGAACATCTCCTGGGACAGTGTTTTTCAGGAAGAAATTCTCTTGATTTTTAATATCTAGACTTCACAGAACATGTGTATCTTTAAAACAATGTTTTCTGCTGGTATTTATATAGAAAATATTTATCATTCTGTTTCTAAAACTCAAGACAGCATTTTTCTAAAACTAATTGTGGAAAAGGTCTTGAATTTCATTCCAACACGACTAGTAGAATGTCACAATCACATAAACTTTTTGAAAAATATTGTTTGGCCGGGCGCGGTGGCTCACGCCTGTAATCCCAGCACTTTGGGAGGCCGAAGCGGGTGGATCATGAGGTCAGGAGATCGAGACCATCCTGGCTAACAAGGTGAAACCCCGTCTCTACTAAAAATACAAAAAATTAGCCGGGCGCGGTGGCGGGCGCCTGTAGTCCCAGCTACTCGGGAGGCTGAGGCAGGAGAATGGCGTGAACCCGGGAAGCGGAGCTTGCAGTGAGCCGAGATTGCGCCACTGCAGTCCGCAGTCCGGCCTGGGCGACAGAGCGAGACTCCGTCTCAAAAAAAAAAAAAAAAAAAAAAAAAAAAAAAAAAAAGAAGAAAAATATTGTTTGTTTGAGACCTTATTTGTTGCTTGGTAATTAGGAAACAAAATTGAAAACATCTTAAATCATAAAATGCTATTTATACAGGCATAAAAGTCGCTTATGTATAGGTATGTAAAATACGTATGTGTTTTTGGGAATGGGGTGTGAGGTGTGAGGTTAATGTCTAATAATTTATTGATTTGCACATTTAAAATAATGGGAAATAGATTCCTGAAAAACTATCAGTGCAGAACATCCAGATTTCAGGATTTTCTGAATTTATGACTTTAAGTTGAGATGGCACTACAGTATGTGTGATACATTATATAACATAGTTTTGAACTCACACTTTTTTTTTCACCTTAAGTTCTGGGATACATGTGCAATTGTTACCTAGATATACATGTACTATGGTGTTTTGCTGCACCTATCAATCTGTCATCTAGATTTTAAGCCCCGCATGCATTAGGTATTTGTCCTAATGCTCTCCCTACCCTTGCCCCCCACCCCCTGACAGGCCCTGGTGTGTAATGTTCCCCTCCCTGTGTCCATGTGTTCTCATTTGAACTCACACTCTTTAGCTAGACTCATTAGCCCTTTATGTTCTGGTTGTTCATTGTTCTAACTTCATGACCACCCACTTCTGCCTGGGCATCAGCGAGGTTGCCATGCTCCTGCATGCCTTGGTGCACTTGTACATGACAATCTCTCTCCCTCTAATTCCTTCCTTTGAAACTCAACTGAAATATCATTTAGACAGGGCAGCTGCTCTGGCTTCCCCAGCTTCTGTTCACTCATAACAGTCTTTGAATCATATATTGTAAAACACAATAGAGTATTCAAATTGGCTGTTTATTTCTCTGTTCCCTACACTAGTAGAAAACAGTGTATGGGCTTCTTGACAGAAAGGATTGTCTTTTATAAGGTCATGAAACTTAGTAGGTTTTAAGTAAATGTTCATTGAACAAGTAAATTAATTAATTTTTAAATATATAAGAGCATAGATTTTTATGGGTTGAACTTTTAAAGAAAGAAATGAAGGAGACAGTGAATGTTAAAAATTGAATGTTAAGAGAGGAAAAGAGCACAAGTAAAAGCTAAGAAACAGGAAAACAGTGATGTGAGTTGGGAGAACTGAGAGTGGAAATTTCACAGGGGAATAATAGAAGAAAAGATTGAGAAGTAAAAGTGATTGTAAATTGAAAAATCCATCTTTGCTCTCATATATTCTGAGACCCAAAGTTGCATAAATGTTTAATATCTATCTCCTTTTCTTAGTTGTGTACTCTGATGTCTTTACACAAAAGAAAAGGATAAGAAGAGATCCTTGTGATTCTTCTTGATGCTCTGTTTACATACCTGATACCGAGCTCTTCAGAATGAAGTACTACCCTCTCCTGCCCTACTCTCTTCTAGGGATGACCAACTCTTACTACACTAGCTGAAGACACACTCTCTTATCCTGTTAGAGTTAATTCATTAAACAAACAGTAAATAAATTCTTTCCCTATTGTACCTTCCAATTATTTTCCTGAAGAAGACTCACATTGATTTACAGAATCGTGTGAGCACAGAGCTGTCTAAAACAACTTTCTGCAATGATGGAGATGTTTTATCTGTGCTATCCAATACAGTAGTCACTATCTACATGTAGCCACTGAGCACTTAAAATATGTCTGTGCTACTGAGGAACTGAATTCTTTTTATCTTATTTGAGTTTAATTACTTTAAATGTAAATAGCCATATGTGCTTAGTGTCTACCATTTTAGGCAACACAGGTCTGAAATATTTGTGAGAAACCTAAAATTGCAGCCACTGCCCCTACGTTACTAAGCAGTCTACCTCACTTACTGATTGAGAAAGTAGATGAAAAAGCTGCAGTGCTTAACTCCTAATTTGCTAGAGAATCTCCAGTGTCAGTCTTTAATAGGAATTAAGGGTAAGCAAGGCAGTGAAGATATACTCATTCCTGACTGTTACACATGAATGGCCAAGAAAATCTATGTGTAATTGGTCTATCAAGAAGAGTTATAATTAGAATCTGATTTATTTGCTTCTTGTGGAATTCTTGGTCCCTTTTACCATATCAGCACAATCAGTGCTAAAAGCCAAAGGAAAATTGGCTTTGGCATGAACGTTATTCCTTTTGTATCCATGAGATTTTCCACTTAAGTCAAAGCAGCATTCTGGATCAGTGTTAAGGATGTTTCTAGTGATCAGACTGGCCTAAATAATATAGAAGCCTACATGTACATACACATGTAATGTCTGCAGTTACTGAGAGAGCATTTCTAACTACCCCTGGTAAGTCCTTCCGGCCCTCTGGAGGTTCACTTAGACAGATTGTTGACTTTGCTCAGAAGGAATTTAACCTAATTTAAAGAGGAAGTCTCTTCAAGCATTGGATGCATGGTTTCATCTTGTGGAAATGGGGTTATAATGCAAATTGCTAGGGTGAGGTCTATGAATTTCCATTTTTAGAAGCACTCTGATGGTTCTGATGCAGATGTCCTCCCATCATGTTTCAGAAATGTGGAATTGGACTGTATAACTCATTAGAAGTCTAGAACACAGACCACAGTCATGCAGCATGGTAATATACATCAATAAGAAACCAGACACTGTGGTGTGCACCTGTAGTCCCACTACTCTAAAGGCTGAGGTGGGAGGATCCTAGGTGTTTGAGACCAACCTTGGCAACATAGCAAGAGTCTGTCTCTTAGAAAAGAAAGGAAGGAAGGAAGGGAGGGAGGGAGGGGAGAGAGAGAGAGAAAGAAAGAAAGAGAGAGAGAGAAAGAAAGAGAAAGAAAGAAAGAGAAAAAAGAAAGAAAGAAAGAAAGAAAAAGAAAGAAAGAAAAGAAAGACAGTAAGGCTTTAAGGGATAGACCATTTTCAGCTTTCACTGAAGAACATACATCTACAGCGATACCTTGTGCATATTTAAGAGTAAGAATGGTGGCCATAATAATATACATTCTAGAGGACAAAGTCATTCAGAAATAGAAAATTTATGGGAAACTGAAATAGCCCATAGAATTACAGCAACCTTGGCAAATGAATAATTGTTGCAGAGTCACAAGTCTTTTTCCCTCAGCAAGATGCCCAATCACCTAGTGGCAAACAAATGGAAACCTCCCAATTCTGTTTCTTTTTTCCTTAATAAGGTGAAGGGGAAAGCAAGCACTGACCTGAATCAAAAATCCCTTGGCAGTCTGTGGTTAGAAGCATGTGCCTTGTTTCAAAAGCACTGTGCTCTGAGCTGAGGTAAGCGACTCAGAATAAAGTGATTTCCAGCTGTCTGTGTTCTTTTTCATCATAGTAAGTCCTTATTAGGTGTGGATTCCTCAATGGTACATTTTGAGGAACATCACTGGGAATCGGTCCAAGTAAAACCATTTGAAAGGTAGCTTGCCTTCCAGTAGTGCAGTCAGTTATAGCAGTGACTTTTACAGAGACCATTTCATACTTTTATGGATAAAAATAAAAAGCCATTCCACCATGCTGAAATCTCAGAGAAAAGCTTGCTGTGACTGTGTATTTTGTGCTGACATGGTACATGGTAGCTTTCTAAATGGAAGAATAATTGTATTTTCAAGAATACTGAAAGGATGCTTTGATTTGGTTTGAAAGGGCCAGAGTCTCACAGATGTACTAAGAATGTCACATATTAAGCTTCTAGAAGTGCCCATCATGCTTCAGTAAATGGAATTCTATGTCTTGGGCTGGAGTCTCTAGGGTCAATTTCTTCTCCTTCTTCTCCCCTTGGCTCTTTCCTCCTTTGTCTCATTTGGAAAACAATCATCAAAAGGCAAGAAAAGTTGCTCATATTTACATTCTACATTAGGCATGATGTCTTACAAAACTATCGTCAAATAGTTCATAGCATCCTCGCTTAATGAAGTAGCAAACTGAGGTTTACAGTCGTTAACTTGTTCATAAAAAAGCAACTAGTAAATGGCAGAACTCATTCAGACCCAGGTATCTGAGACATCAAATTTCTCCTTCTCTTATGCCTTGATCTACATTCTCTTTATTCCAAAATTCAACTTCTATCTTTTTTCAAAAAAAGATCATCGCTAAAAACAACATTTCCACTTTCTTATGCCTACATAGACTGTTGTAAGAGCCCTTTCTCTGGCTTTCCTGCTGAGAATGTTCTTCTGCTACAATTTAACCTGCCAATGGCTGTCAGTTTTTCCTTCTTAAAACACTCACCTGCCATTTCTCATCCAGAAGGGCTGTACCATGGATCATTTTCACCAGCTGCTTATGAGAGTGTCTATTTTTACATAACTTCATCACAGGGTATGTTGGAATTTTCCTAATATAATACGTGAGAAATGAGGAAACTATACTTTTGTAGTGAACTCATCAGATGCTTTATGAACAATTATTTGTTTGATATTTACCATATGTTAGGTCCTATTTTAAAGAATATTTGATATAATCTTGTTTTTATTGAGGTAGTTTTTGAATTAAACAAATAACTAGAATTATTTAGTTCTGAAAAAAGTATGGTAGAAAAATCTAAACAATCTAATGGTATTTCTGAAATATGGTAAGTTTTTAATTGAAAAACACAGACATTCAAACTTAATAAAAATCTGGAAGATAGACACCAGGATGACAAAAAGCCATTTTAAGTAGAAGAGACTGATGTCAAATTCAAGCTGAATATAGCAAGAGACACATATTCCTAGCCACAGTACTTTTTTTGTGTGTTATTATATGAGCTACTAATTTTGATTTTGTGGTAACAGAAAAACAGCACAGCTAACACATTTCCTTCTGCTGTTTTGACAAGGCACAGTCAGGTAGATATTGCAGGAGACTTCATAAGAATACTATGTATTGGCATTATTACACTCAGAAAGGGTTCTCTGCAGCAGCTGTGAAATCTTCAGATTGACATTCATACAAGATAGTCCTCCAGAGAGTAAGATAAAAATGCCCAGAATAGTGAGGTAAAGCGGTTGTTTATGAGGAAATACTGCCAACCTGATTCTGCAGCTATGCATGCTAAGTACAAAACTTTCCATGATTTCTTTTAGCTCTCTTGATTGGTTTTAACCTGCTCAGTCTAGTTAGAACATCTCTCGTGCACCTTTTAAACTAATTTTTAAAACCACATTCAATAAAGCAAAAATTCCTTTCTCATTGTGTTGGGTAGGCAGCAAAAGAGAGGTTCCAATGGTATTGACACATTACATGAAGTATGCATATTTTATTTAGCCTTTTTAAATTTTAGACATTTTAGAAATCTTTAGTGAAAGACAACTGTCAGCTCTGCTTTTGGTAGTAATGCGTCTCAATGAGTGGTTTAGAAACATGAACCTAATAGGCTCTGTAACTGATTAAAGTTCTCTTCTAGGTCTTCTTAGTTTACTCTCACTCTTTCTGTACTACCTCATTCATTTTCATGGTTTTATCAGTTTATGTATGTCAATGACTTCAATACATCTCTTCATCCTAAGCCTGTCAGGCCTCAGTGTCTCCAACTGATTACTAAGTATCTTGACTTCAACATTCTATTGACACCTCATCACAATATACAAGACTGGACACATTATTTCTCTCAACTTGTCCCCCTTTTCCATATTCACAAGCAAAATTCTGCTCCTCTAACTGTAATCTATATATCATAGAATGTTATCACCCTCCACAGATTTTACCCACATCAGAAGTCAGACCTACCTACTGTTTCTCCCTGTCATTTCTCCTATCCACTCAATCCTCAAGTCTGATTAATCCTTTCCCCTAAATATTTTTAGAAGAAATCCACTTTTCCCTATTCCAATGCAACAATGCGTACCCAGGACTTTCTTATCTCTCCACCAGGTTACTAAAACAGTTTCATCACATATCTAACTTGCCCCTTCTAATCCAGTCTCCACACTGCAGCAAGAATGATCTTTTATAAAAAAGGGAAGCGAGTTTATAACATGCTGCTCACCCACAGATTAAAAAGTCTTCCACTGCCTTACCATTCCTTCTAAATAACGACAACATTTTTTATCATGTGTGATAAGCTGCTTCATATTCTAATGTCCGCTAACTTTTCATTCTTCACTATTTGCCTCCCATTCTCTCCAATCCTGCCACATTCAACTTCCTTAGCACCACTCTTATTTTTAAACCTGTGAGCCATCCCAATTAAGTGAAAAACTTAAACACTTCCCTCATTTTTTGAAGCATCAGATGACAAATCTCTTGGGTGTGAGTCGAGGGTGAAAAGTAGATGCACTAGGGATGTTAGCCATCGGCTAACATGATGTTTCTTGTCTCCCCAGGACCTGCTCATTCCAAATCTCATTTATATCTTTGCAAAATGATAGACTACCACCAGGCATGCCTCCCTTCAAATGATGGTCAATCAGATAACATCTAGGCCATGAGGGGAAACTCAGGTTTCAGTTTCCTTTGTATGTAATGGTCAGATAACTAGTCTTTTTCAAAATCTAGGGGCATCATAGGGACTGTTAATCAAAAGCAGAAATGTTATTTGATTAAGGAGTATGGCTTTTCTCCAAAACTCTAAAAGCTTCATGATTTTTCTGCCTGACTTAACCATACATTTCATATAGCATCTGGATCTTCTACAAACCCTGTGAACCTTAGGAGCCAAATGGCAGACCTTCTTTCTTTAGAAACTGGGCCCTATTTAAAGACACCAACCTTAGGTTATCTGGCAAGTTGTTAAGAATAGCACCCCAAACCTGTGGCAATATTGCCTCTAAAGTCTAAAGAAACCCACTAAATGTTGGGTCCCTTTTTAGTGATGAGGAGGAAAATTGTGGCAACTTGTCTTTCACTTCAGAGAGGCTATCCCTACATACTCCTAGTCATTTGGTTTCCCAAAGCTTTACTGAAGTGACAGATTTCTGAATGTGGGGGAGGTTTTATCCCCCAACTTTCTGGTATGCATGTTTTCTACCAAGGTCTCTCGATAGCTGCTAATATGCTTCCCAGCTGCCACCGGCGTGATGTAATCAATGTAGTAGACAAGATGGATGTCTTAGAGAATGGTGAGATGAACAAGATCCCTGGTGGCTAAATTAAGATTCAAAGCTAAATATTGACATAGACTTGAGGCAAGATAGTAAAGGTAATCTTCTGATTCTGCTGGTTGAAAGTAAATTACTTCTGATATTCTTTGCATACTGAAAGAGAGGACTTAGGATTTACTGGATCAGTAGCTGAATACCAGGTGCAGGGGAATGAGTTGATTTTTTTCAGCACTAAGATCAAATCTGGAAAAGCAGCTGCAATCAGAATCACCACATGAACAGCCATGCAGTCATGTACTGTCATTCCCCAAGAATCATCTGTTTTCTACGTAAGCCAAATAGTCAAATTAAAATGGAGATGCTTTAAAGATAATCATGCTGCATCTTTCAAGTATTTGTTGGTGGCACTAATCTCTGAAGCTTATCAGGAATAAGCTACCACTTATGGTTAAAATTTTCGATAGGAAGAAAAAGCTCCAAAGGCTTCTATTTATTTTTTGTATCATAATGGCTTTCAGCTCTCTGGGTCTGGAAGACAATACTGGAATACTAGCCAAACATTTCTATTCCAATTAAATATCCAGAAATGGTACAATAGTCACAGGTTGGGTTAATGGACCCAATGATTAGGTCAAAAATCTATTTACCATCTAATTTCCCACCATGACTAATGGACCACACACAGGGTAAATCTGTTTTCTGGACTTAGTGTTAGGTCAGACCCAGTGATCAGTCAGCCCAACCCTACTCCCATAGATGGATAATTCCATTGTCCTAGTTCACATTTAACCTGGTAAAGGATAACAGTTCATTTGGAGGAAGTCAAGGAAGATTTACAGTATATGTTCATAATGGATTTTGTACAAATATTTCTCAATTGTTTCTGACCTTTATTAAATGGCCCTAGTCTCTAAGCCCATACATTGACTGACTCAGTCCTGAACGGTAGTAATCCACCATGAGTTTCCATTGTGGTGGCTAAAGTAAGGCCCTGTTCATTAGATCTTGGATTATTATTATCATATTCACAGATTAAGTAGGAGTTAAAGGAATATTTTTGTTTTTGGAACTGCATAATTTTTATCAAAGATTCCTATTCTATTAAAAAAGTTATCACACTTGCTTGTTGCTTTCTATGGTAACCACTTTTTCATTTTTTTTTTTTTCCACACAGGCTGTCACTCTGTTACCCAGGCTGGGGTGCAGTGGTATGAACATGGTTCACTGCAGCCTGGACCTCCTGGAATCAAGCAATCCTCCTGCCTCAACCTCCCATGTAGCTGGGAACACAGGCATGCACCACCATGCCAGACTAATTTTTTAATTTTTTTTGTAGAGACAGGGTCTCACTTTTTTGCTCAGGCTGGTCTCGAACTCCTGACCTCAAGCAATCCTTCTGTCTCAGCCTCCCAAAGTGCTGGGATTACAGATATGAGCCACTCCCAGCCTATGGTAACTACTTACCCCGCTTCTAGTAATTACGTGTTGTTGCTTGATCTCTACCACACTGGCAACCATTTGTTCTCACTGAAATCAGGAATCCCATCTCAATTGCAAAACCCTACCTTCATCTGGGCTTACAGAGGAATCCCATACAACTCTACAAAAATGCTGGCACTTGCCTCATAAATTTACTACACGGTTCCTGTGGTTCATTAAGGAAGAGGCCTCTATGTCTTATTAGGGACATAGAGGTTAGGCAATTGAACTATATATGATAAATCTACGTCAATATTTATAACAGAATTTTTAGATCTCTTTATTTTATAGAAAGGAATTTCTATCATCTCAATGTTGCAATAGGCCACAGTTGCTGCCAGATTGCCTCCATTGAACAAAGCAAATTGAACCATCCCTAGATGGTTCCATGAATCCACATGAATCCACAGTCCCTGCAAAGTACACTCATATCAATATGCCCAGTCTGACTTAAATTTATGTTGCCTCAGAGTCTGTTCTCACTCACGTTACCTAAGTTACTGCCAATATGAATTGGCAAAACCTGCAATTCTTTTGGTGTGTCAGGCTTCTCCTGAGTTTGACATTACCTGAGATATGCCAGTTATATATATAATTATAAATATGATGACAATAAAGAGAATGGGCAGGTGCGGTAGCTCATGGCTGTAATTCCAGCACTTTTGAAAGCCGAAGAGGTGGATCACAAGGTCAGGAGTTTGAGACCAGCCTGACCAACATGCTGAAACCCTGTCTCTACTAAAAATACAAAAATTAGCAGAGTGTGGTGGCACGCACCTGTAATCCCAGCTACTCAGGAGGCTGAAGCAGGAGAATCACCTGAACCCGGGAGGCAGAGGTTGCAGTGAGCCGAGATCATACCACTGTACTCCAGCCTGGGCAACAGAGCGAGACTCCACTTCAAAAAAAAAAAAAAAAAAAAAAAGGATGTAGCTGAGAAATGAAGGAAATTGATATGCCCTTGCACAATAATTATTTTCAGCTGAGAATGTGGGGTCTGCAAGCAAACAAATCCAATCACATTAAAAAACTAAGGAGAGACTCTGTTTGCTGATGGGATGTTTAAGAAGCTTAGGAGTTTGCAGCAATCTGAGCTGTAGGAAACCTCCAAAATATCTGCAAGCTCATTTTTAATTCTCACATCATGCCTTAGAAATGTTAGATGTCTAAGAGCCTACCTAGAACTATATAATACTGAGAAATTCCTAAACTATTGATTCTTTCAGGTGCTTGGCACTGATGATGCCGGGAGTTGGATTGCAGACCCACTACCACAGATGTCATAGAATAACTAAATGCTTCCATTAGTGTATTTGACAGAGTATCTGATTTTCTTGCTCAGGACTACTGTCTCTGATTAGTTATTCTGCTCTCCCAAATCTTTCATGAGTGTGTTTTTAGCAGAACCTAAATCAAATGTAGAAATGTAACTACAAGCCAGCCTAAACATTTTATGTTTTTTATTTCTAGCCTCAGAAGTGTAGGAAGTTACACTAAAAAGAATTGATATAGTAGTTAATTCAATCTGCTGTATATTCCACATAAAAGCTAGCTATATATTTATTAAATATACGGAAAAATGAATAAATGCAAAAGTAAACCAAGTGATCAATGCAGTTTCAACTAGGATAATAATGATGCTAAATAGAAAACAAAGGTCACAAAGTAAAATGCTGAAGCCATTTACTCCACAGATGTCTTAGCCCCAAGAATAACAGCATTTTTTCCAGCAAAAAGTAAAACAAAAAATGTGACATATCTTTTCATGCACTGCTGTCTCCTTTCCATTATTTTCCTTAAAGTCTTGACAAATCTACTCTCTTTATATCCTCAAGGATGGGATTCCTAAAACTCGCTCCCACCGTAAGAAATCTTGGTTGTGTTTCTGACAGGTATTATCGATGCTAGCATCAGTTTCACAATTTTCCAGATATTTGTTTCTACTGAAGCCAAGATAAGTATAGAGAAAAATTCCTACAATTGTATATGTATTTTAAAAATATGTATTTTGAGGCTTATTCATTTGCTTATTCAAAAATATTTGCCAGGCAATGAACTAGAGTTCAGATCCCTGCCCTTACGAAACTGGTATCCTAGAGAAGATGAGAGATTGTTTAAAGTCTTATGAAGCAAATAAAATAGGTGCAATTGAAGAGAACACCAGAGATGATATATTATGAATTTATTTATTTATTTATTTATTTATTTATTTATTTTTTTGAGACGGAGTCTCGCTCCGTCGCCCAGGCTGGAGTGCTGTGGCACGATCGCGGCTCACTTGCCACCTCCGCCTCCTGGGTTCGCGCCGTTCTGCTTCAGCCTCTCGAGTAGCTGGGACTACAGGTGCCCGCCACCACGCCCGACTAATTTTTTATATTTTTAGTAGAGACGGGGGTTTCACCGTATTAGCCAGGATGGTCTCCATCTCCTGATCTCGTGATCCGCCCGCCTAGGCCTCCCAAAGTGCTGGGATTACAGGCGTGAGCCACCGCACCCAGCCTACGTATTTATTTATTTTTGGAGACAGAGTCTCGCTCTGCCACCGAGGCTGGAATGCAGTGGCGCAATCACAGCCCACTGCAGCCTTGACCTCCTGGGCTCAAGTGATTCTCCCCACTTAGCTTCCTGAGGAGCTGGGACGGCAGGAATGTGCACCCAAACCTGGCTAATTTTTAAGATTCTTTGTAGAGATGGGGTCTCAACATGTTTCCTAGGCTGGTAGCGAACTCCTTTGCTCAAGCGATCCTCCTTCCTTGGCCTCACAGAGTGCTGGGATTACAGGCGTGAACCATGCCTGCCTCCAGATAATATACTTTAGATAGTGTGGTTAGGGGAGGCGTCTCTAAGGAGTTCATCTTTAATCTAAGACGAAGAGAATGAAAAGGGAAGTTAAGAGGCAGGTGAGACACATCATTGAAGTGAGTACAAGTGTGAGAAAGAGGCAATTGCGACTGGAGCATGGAGATGACATGTATGTAGCATCTGGCAGTTTGGAGATGAAGTTAGAGGCCTAATTAATAAGAGCATTTTATCCATAGATAGGGGTAGGAATTTTACTGTAAGGTCCTAGAGAAGATTGGAGTCACTTCCAAGGTTAGTGGAGGAAGGCAAAGAAACATAGTGGTGGATTTGAAAGCCTGTTTGAGAAGTTATATGTAGTTCTTTGAAAATGGATGGAAATTCCATTGCATACATATCAGCCAAAGGAAGTTTAAGAAGGCTAATGGGTTGTCTAAAATTGTCCTAGTCTGTATAATTAAGGAAGTTAAGTGTTGATTTCTCCAATGTATAGTCAATATTATAGTCAATATGTTTGTTGAGAAGCTTACATTTTTCATTCATGAAGATGCTTTCAAAATCTTTTAGTTAACTTCCTCATAGTATAGAGTCCAATATTGAGGCCCACAGAGGTAGAGAAGTCAGTTGAATTTCACACAGAGAATGGTAAAGAGTAGAACCTGAGCTTCCCACACCGTGGCAGGGAGAGGGGTGTTGGGAGGAGGAAAAAACCATGAAATACTTACGGCATATCTAAATGACAGTGAGTTAAATGCAGAAAATTAAAGGTTTTTTTTTTGTTTTTTTTTTTTTTCATTTCTTTGAGACAGGGTCTCACTCTGTTGCCCAGGCTGGAGTATAATGGCACAATCATAGTTCACTGCAGCCTTGACCTCCTAGGCTCAAGTGATCCTCCCAGGTCAGTCACCAGAGTAGCTGGGACTACGGGTGTGCAGCACCACACCTAGCTAGTTTTTGTATTTTTTTGTAAATGGGGTCTTGCTATGTTTCCCAGGCTGGTTTCAAACTCCTGGCATCAAGCAATCATCCTGCCTCAGCCTCCCAAATTGTTGGATTACAGGTGTGAACCACTGCACTTAGCCAGGAAATTAAGTTTTGAAAAGAAAGCGACTCAGTTATCTTGAAAGGGTGAGAGTAAGGTTTTGATTTTGTTTTTGTTTGTTTGCTTTTCCCTCTTACTAAAGGGAAAGAAAATTAAATATTTTATTTGAGACAGAAAATTAAATGTCTCTACGTCTAGATTGTGTTTTAAAATGTATGCTGGGTACACAGTTATTAAGAAGGTGGCATGAGAGGACAGGGAAACCAGGAATTAATTTTGTCTGATAATGAAAGGAAATAATGAACGGGGCCTTAAGGAAGAGAAAGCTTTCCAGAAGGTAGAGAAGAAGGGAGTGTTACAGGGCAAGGCACTGTAAGCTGAGGGAAGGAATAAGAAAGGCAAGGGCCTGAGGGACTTAAGTGTAGTTCTCATAAAGCAGAACAAGGCTCTCCACTAGAGGCCAAAGGCATAGGAACAGATAAATCATTTTGCAGGATCTGACTTATTTCCCTATAGATCTTTGACAATTTTTCATGATTTGATTCAGTCGTGGGTTATGAGAATAAGCCCCTTTCACCAGCCTGCCTCTCCATTCCTCTTGATGAATATGATACTCTCTGAGACATGTCGGAAAACCCTTTGTGAGCCGCTGGGGCAACTGCTGTGGCCAATTATTTTGTGGCCTCAGATTATGGGTCTCCTATTCAAATTTTTCTGATTTATCCAAACTTAGAGTTTTACATGTATATGTAAATGTAAATACATTTTATATCAAAGATAATGAGAGCTGTATCCTTGTTTAGTAAGTAACTGTGCTTTGGTAAAAAGAAGCAGTCAGCATTGAAGAGGAAGGCAGCAGAACCCAAAATAAGGTATCCACCCCAGGATACTGATGGACAGAATTCCCATGACAACAATTAAGTATCAGGAATGAGGAGCAATCAGTCCATAAAAGAGTAGCAAGATTGAGGGCAGGATGAGGGAGAACTCCAGGAATAAAACTAATTGATAGATTATCGAATGTATTGAATGTTGAGGAAAAGAAATGAGGTCTTGCTATGTTGCCCAGGCTTGCTGTTTGACGAATATATCAGGGTGTTAAGAAAAAACATTAAGCACATGGAAAATTATGCAACAAATGAATATATTATTTTTAAGCTTTTTTCATTTTAAATTAAGGTATAATTTATGTTCATTAGAATTTAATTATTTTAGTATTCAGAGCTGCCTGTGTTGAAAATACATACATTCATATAACCATCACAAGATCTATAATCTTGAATTTTCTCTTTATCCTGATAGCCACTCCGTCTCTCACTCTCAGTCCCTAGCAACCACTGATCTGTGTTGGCTCCACAGTTTTGCCTTTTCCCTAGTGTAATATAAATGAAATGATATAGTATGTAGCTTTTCAGGTCTGGCTATTTTTACTTAGCTTAATGCATTTGTGATTAATCTATGTTGTTACATATATTGGTAGTTTATTCCATTTTTTCCCTTTGTTTCCTTTTATTGCTAAGTAATATTCTAATTTATGGATTTATCACAGTATGATTATCCATTTACCACATGATGGATATTTGATTTTTCCTCATTCTTTTGAGAGTATAAAGAAAGTATAATATGTTATTAACTTTAAAAAAGCAAAATAAAAATCGTATGAAACACAAAAGCATAATCATAATAAATTAGTTGGTGACAATGTATATATACAGTTTGGATAACGAAAATTCTATCACTCCAGTCAAAGGTTATTTCTTTAAGTATAATGAAGTAGGGAAAGAGAAGGTAATTCATGAAAATTAAATCATCTCCTACCAGAAGACATCAATAGATAGAATCTAAAATTTATAAATGAAGAAACAAAACCAAAAGCATTGATGTTTATAAGAATGGAAAATATACCATTTAGAAAAAAGTCATCTACATAACTTGAAAATGGCTTCCTCCGAAGATTTTAGAAGGTTGAATCAGAACTGCAGAGGTTTTTTAAAAAAATTGCTTTTGTTGCCTTAACAGCCAAATTCATTCCATTTAAATTTTAAACTATGTGCATCTAAGTGTGATAGAAATAAAAAAAATAAGGTTGAATTTCTTTCTCAGTGTGCTTCAAGTAGCTCATCATATGACCATGTTCCTAAACTTACTTTCTGCTTCTTGGACTTACCTGTCCTCCTTTACTCCCTTCCTGATTCTTTTCAGACCCCCATTTCCCTTTGGTAGAAGAGTCATTGCCCTGCCTGTTCTTCAAAATTGTCATCATATCTTCGTTAGTGTTATTATCATTTTGCTCACTCCTTCAGTTTTCTTATATGTGTGTGACTAAATGAAAGCTATTGATAGAAACCTAATGACTCGCTTAAGCACATCAACTTAAGAAGAGACACAATAAAATTATAATTCACAGAATGTTGCCCAGACTCACGTTTATAGTCTCAAATAATAATCACAGACCTCATAGTACAACTACCACCAAAGTGTAGCAATTCCCAGACCAAAGTAAGAAATTTAGAGAATTACTTATGGGATCAAAGTTTCTTTCTCTGGAAAAAGAAGAGACACAGTATAAGATTGTAACTCACAGAGTGTTGCCCAGACTCATGTTTATAGTCTCAAATAATAATAAAAGACCACATAATACAACTACCACCAAAGTATCGCAGACCAAAGTAAGAAATTTAGAGAATTGCTTATGGGATCAAAATTGCCTTCCTCTGGAATAAAAGAAACCAAAATATTATTTGCTCCAATTCAGCAAAAAACATTAAATAGCCCATTGAGAGGGAGTTTAAATAGTGGCAAGTCAATTGGGGCCATGGGAAATGTGGAAAATAAAAAACAAATGAACTCAAATATGGCATAAAAGCAGCAAGGAATTAGACCCTTTAGCCAGACCAAAAGCTTCTGAAAAGCAAAGAAAGTAATTTTTAATTGGCCCTGTTTATTTCCTTGAGGACTAATATGTGGCTGTATCTTTAAGAATGCTTTCATTAGATGCTATACTTTAATTTTTATGAAATTCAGTACATCCCTGGGATTTTCCAGAAGATATAGAAGTTGATGTCATGTAGGTTGAATGAAACCATGCAGAGGAGAGAGTATGTGTCAAATCTATCCTTTTTCTTATTTCCCAAGTTTGTTGACATAAAATAGTCATATAATAGCACCAGGGTCAAACCACTCTTGCCTATTTGTAAAGTGTTACAGCAATTTACTACCTTATGGGACCTCCCTAGATTGCTTATCAAGTGCAATTTCAAGAATTCTCTTATGAAGCGTTAATGAGGCTATACTCCAAGATATGAGTTTCTGGTTGAAATGTAATTCACATAGGTACCTCTGGTTAAACAAACTGTAGTTAAATATTGTCATATTGGCCTAACATGTTTTACCTTCAAGCTAATGTATTTTCCTGAACTGTCACCCTGTTAGAATTCATATACATGCATGTGCCACCTAAAAATGTTTTAGTCAATGACACACCACATATATAATAATGGTCTCATAAGATTTTAATACTGTATACCAAAACTTTTCTCTTTTGATACACAAATACTTGTAATTGTGTTACAATCCCCTGTAGTATTCAGTAAAGTAACATGCTGTACAGGTTTGTAGCCTAGGAACAGCAGGCTATACTGTGTAGCCTAAGTGTATAGTAGGCTATAACATTTAGGTTCATGTAAATACACTCTATGGTGTTTGCACAACAGTAAAATTGCCTAAGGATGCATTCCTCAGAACCCATCTCTGTCGTTAAGCAAAATATATAAATTGTGAATACATGATTGTGTTTGAGAAGCTCCATCACTTTTCTTTCATTTTTAGAGAAAATATATACTTGGAAACATTAAATCCTTATCATTATTTTTGTTTTAGCAGAAAACTAATAACACTAAGTAATGTAAAAGATGGTCACACATTTTAAGAAGCAGTCTTAGAACAATTTGTATTTTATAGTATATTGCAAATTTTAAAATATCTCACATTTATTGTATTAAGTATATGCAATAAATATGACTGGCTTTTCTTAGAGGAGGGGAATATGTATAATTAGGAGAAAAGTGAGATTTTTAAAATTTGGATTGTTCATTATAGAAAACAGTGTGGTGATTCTTCAAAGTCCTAGAACCAGAAATACCATTCGACCCAGCAATCCCATTACTGAATACATACCCAAAGGAATATAAATCATTCAGCTATAAAGACACATGCACACATATGTTTACTGCAGCACTATTTATAATAGCAAAGACATGGAACCAACCCAAATGCCCACAAATGATAGACTGGTTTAAGAAAGTGTGGTGCATATACAACATGGAATGCTAAGCAGCCATAAAAAGGAACGAGATCATGTCCTTTTCAGGGACATGGATGGAGCTGGGAGCCATTATCCTCAGCAAACTAGTGCAGGAACAGAAAACCAAATACCTCATGTTCTCACTTATAAATGGTAGCAAAACAATGAAAACATATGAACACAGGGAGAGGAACAACACAGAGTAGGGCCTGTTGGAGGGGTAGGGGGAGGGAGAGCATCAGGATAAATAGCTAATGCATGCTGGGCTTAATACCTAGGTGAGGGGTTCATAGGTGTAGCAAACCACAGTGGCACATGTTTACCTATGTAACAAACCTGCACATCCTGCACATGTATCCTGGAACTTAAAATAAAATAAAATAGAAAAAGTATTGGTTGTTATTTGGAAAAGTTATGTCCCTGATTATTCAGTTTATTGGAGTTGACCGACCCATGATCAAGTTTAGACTCTGCTACTTGGGTAGATCACTCACTTAAGCTTCCCTTGATTTTCAGATTCTCTATTTACAAAATTGTATTAATAATTTCTAAAGGTCCACAAAGTTGTTATGACAAGTAATGAGTCTCTTAAACAAGGGCAAGAAAGCATATTATTTATTTTTTATATTCGTCGGTCCCTGAATTACTCCATCAGTCTGTAATTCATATATTTCTAAAGAATTGATAAACCAAAATATTATAAATTAATATTTGAATGCTGATGAGATAATTTTATTTTTACCATCATTGGTTGCTGCAAAGCTTTATAACACATACTGCCTATCTTTTAGGCAGTATAGACTACTCAAAATTTTTCTTTTGAAAACCAAGATTTAGACATGATACTCTTATTAAACAACTTGGTAACTACAGTGATGTGGCTGAAGCAGCCTTTAGAGAATGTGCAATCCAGAGATGAGAAATACATGGGTTTCATACCCTTACATTTTCATGCAGGGTCCATAGCAGTGTTAATTGATTGCTGCGCTTTTTCTTTATTCTGAGCACATTTGCAATAGAAGGTACATTGTATACACTACATTTGATCTGATTCAGTGTACTTATTTTATGATTGAGAGTTAGGTGATTGGGTTGATTCAGGATCAAAAATAAACCCAAGTCCTAAGAATATCACTTCCATCTATGTATTTTAAAATAAATCCCAACTTTCAGCTAGTACATAAACTTGTGTTTAAATTTTGATTTGCCCTATTTTGTCTATAGTTTAAGAATACTCCTTTAAGAAATGATCAATTAAATGATCTTAAGTGAATTAGGAGTGACAGTGGGTAAATTCACATGGTAGAAACAGATCCAGATAAAATCTTTCTCACTGAAATTAAGTGGCAGAGAAGTGTAAGGTGTTACCATCCTGTAAGGTGTTAACACCTAGCATTTAAATAACAACTGAATGCAAACTGAGAAAACAGAACCAGAGACCATGAACATATCTTGAGGTGATCTAGAAAGAGGAAAGCAAGACAAACCATCAAATAGAACCTGTTAGTTTTACACATTTAGTAAGAAAAAGTAGGCAGTGGCTGATTGTTATGTTCAATATAAAAATGTGGACTAGTATCATCTATTTAAGTGGTTTTCATCATTTGTCCCCAACTTGCAATTCTATATCTGAAAGTATGCATCATTCTTTACCTATGGTAGATGCTAACTAACTTGAAGGCATATCAACTAGTAGGAACTAAAAAATCCTCAGATGACTAATTCTCTAAACTTAGCCTTTCCTTGAGGCAGTTCTGCTAGAACATTATGAACTGTCCCTTCATTCTAAACAATAAAAGTGAGTTTACATTTAGAGCCAATTAGATTTTTAGAAAAAGCATTGTAGATCTAAATGATGCATCCAATTTCTAATAGAAATACCAACTAAGGTATCATTGTCAGGCAAAGAAATGATGTGAAACTTCTTAGGGATGAAATGAACCAATATGTGCAGCAAAATATTCAAGTGCAGTTCTTTAAAGTGAATGATAATCCATAAAACTTGGCAATATGGCAATCCATCACTACAGATGTATTAAATTCAATTTATTGGATAACTCCTATTTTGTTTTATAGAAACAGATGAGCTGTTCATTAGTGCAAAGAAAGTCAGAGCATTTTCTCAGGGGAGTTTTTAAGAGGCATGTTTTAGAAGATTTGAAGTAAGACTTTAGAGTCAGTTATGGCTAAGAATCCAATAAAAAGATGCAGGCTTTTATGTTCTCATTTTCATTTTGTTTCCTCTTGGTAAGTATAGAGAGGCATCAAGCTATTGCTCTTTGTTACATTCAAATTTGGGATCTATTACTAAAAATGGCATGGGAGCCCCTTATACCCTTATGTAATATACTCACAGATAATAACAACATCTCAATGAATACAAAGCCCTTTGTATTTACAAATTGTTATAAATAGGAAATGATTCATTCTAAAGAAAAATTGTTTCCGTTGAAAGTCCCTGTAGTTGTTGTTGCCCATTTATATTCACTAGGGTTCTATTTTTCAGCCACTGGGGAAGGATAAACAGGGAGCATGGTGGCTTAAACAATAATTCTAGGAGACCATGGCAAGCACCAGATACAAACAAGTCAAAGGTCTCATCTACAATCCGGCAGGTTGTTCATCAAGGAATCCTGTTCAAACAGTGACTACTTCCTCTGAATCTGGCCAAGTTGTCTATCTTGAAGCTCAACCATGGTGACCCAAGTGACAGAAAAATCATTCCTAACAGACAATTGCCACTGAGTGTGTGGGCAGAGAGTGAGAGGAGCAAAGGCACAAACTGAAGGAAGCAGATAAGACTCGCAATACAGAAGTCGATTAAGCCTCATTAAGTCTCAGCTTACCAGACACGTAGGTGGCTGCTTTACATTTAAGTTGCTTGGGGAATAAAGTAAATAAAATTTACAAAGTTCAGAGCCAAAAGTTTCTAGTCTAAGTTCTGACACTTCTGATTTATTTGTGAATTCAGCAAACACACCCGCTTTTCTGTCTCCAGGAACACTAACTTTGGGGTTTCAGACAGCTCTGTGTCAATAAAAATGAAACATTTTAAAATGGCTTTTAACTTGTGTTTAAAAAAACCATCTTTGTCAGCTCTGTGACCTGGCACTAAAATTGCATCAGTAAAGTGAGTCCCGGCTCCAGCCCCCCTCCTATAACCTCACTGTGGAAGTAAATTCAAATCAAGCCTGAATGCACTGCTTTACCTCCACCCTCTTTTCAACCCTAATTAAGTTGTATTTATGCTATGAAGTAGTTCATAAGACAAGTTATTAACATGGATCTTAGAGGGATAGAGAGAATATTGTCATTGTCATATTGTAAGTCTTAGTAGTAAAAGGACTTTTTTATTTTTCTTAAATAAAAAGCTTGAAAGAAAGTTAAACTCAAAAAGTCTGGCAAAGCAGCAGATGCTTCAAAAGCAGCTTGTGAACACTAAGGTTTCCATAGCAACATTTCTTGTCCAAAGTGTTTCTTATTTCTTCCTAATTTATCTACCATAAAGTATTACTATTTATTCTGACCTGTGGACCCAAGATGATACTTACTACATGCACAAAGAAATTACAATTTGAAATGCTCTGATTTATTAGTATTCTTTTTTATGGCCTATTTTAGAGTATTGCTATTTGCCTATTTTATATATCCAGCAATATGGTGTGGATCTTATTATATAAGATCTGCATATTAAGTAGTTTTTGGTAAACATACTTTTGATAGACAAGATGAGATAGTAAAATAAAATGAGTTCTAAATATACTTTCCCATTTCATTGACTATTTTAAACTACTTAACTTTAGCTTGGAGCATTTGGTTGAAAAATAATCATTTTCTTGCCTTGGATGGATGCCTTTCATTTTGCAGAGATTTTTGTAGTGAGAACCAGAAAATTTCACTTCATTAGAAACTTATGAAAACATTGTTTACCCAGCTCTGATGTGCTACCTTTCGTTGATGACTCTTGGCACTATACATATAATCTCAATCCATCAGCAAACACCTACTGAACACCTGTAAGCAAAGTACCTCCTAGGTGCTACTGGAGACACAAAAAATTTTAAGAAAAAGGAATTGACCTCAGTTAATGAAACATCTAGTTGGAGAGATGAGCTATCCACAGATAAATATGCCTTAATCATGAGAGAGAAGTAAAAATAATAACTGCAAATAATAATAGTGAACATTTATTTTTTATCTATGTTTTTTTTTTTTTTTTCTTGAGACAGAGTTTTGCTCTTGTGGCCCAGGCTGGAGGGCAATGGCACCATCTCAGCTCACTGCAACCTCTGCCTCCTGGGTTCCAGCGATTATCCTGCCTCAGCCTCCCGAGTAGGTGGGATTACGGGCACCCACCACTACGCCTGACTAATTTTCTGTATTTTTAGTACAGATAGGGGTTTCACCATTTTGGCCAGGCTGGTCTCAAACTCCTGACCTCAGGTGATCCACCCCTCCTTGGCTTCCCAAAGTGCTGGGATTATAGGCGTGAGCCACCGCACCCAGCCTATTGTTTACCTTATGTCACATATTGTTCTAAGAACATTGTGTTGATATGGACAGGAGGCAGGGAAATACTGGGTAAAAGAGGGAGTTTCCCTGACAAAGGCCCCACCCTCGAGCCTGGAAACCATGGCCCTAAATTAGAACAGTTATCCTTGTTTTTCCACCCAAATGTTGCCTTTTTGGCCACCTTACCCCCTTATTGTGTGCCCATATAAACCCCAGACCTCAACTAGCAAATAGACAAGCAGCTGAACATCAAGAGAAGAAGACGCAACTGAGTGTTGGAGACTACAGATAGATGTGGCGTAACTTTAATTGGCATGATTTCAGAGAGGAGCCCAGCCACAGAAGACTGGGCTTTAGGGAAAGATGATCTTCCCACACCATCCCCTTTCCAGCTCCCCTTCCACTGACAGCCACTTCCACTGCTTAATAAAATCCTCCACATTAATCACCTTTCAAATTGTTCATGGGACCCTATTCTTCCTGGATGTCGAATAAGAACTCAGGTGCCAAAGGGGCAGGTGCAGAAGGCTGTCACCCTGACCCTCCACTGACCTATTAACACTTAGCCATCCATGGATGGCAGAGCTAAAAGAGCACTAACTTTAACATACCACTAGATGCTGCCATGGGGCCACAGCCCAAAAGTGCTGATCCCGGCCCCAGTACCCACTCACCTGCATGCTCCCTTCCTTAAGGGGTTGAGCTCAGGGGGTTCAAGTGAGTGAAGTTCATCCCTGCCAGCACCAAAGTGGCTGGCTAGACTTAGAGCTGGTGCACTCCAGTTCTCCCTCATGAAAGGGTCAAGGGAATTCTCCTGTCTCAATGTATGCTGTATTATTGTTGTTGTTGTTTTAATTATTCCCACTTTAGAGAAGAAAAAAAATTTCCAGGGTCACATTAAATGATGATAGGACTTGAATCTGTCTCATCATAAAACTTCTACTCATAACACTAATTTTTTCCCAATGAGTGTTATAGAAGTTCAAAAGTGAGTGCTGTAATTCTGATCCAAAGAGAGCAGAGAAGATTCCAAAGAGGAGGAACGTACAGGGCAATTAATTGGAAGATGTCCTAAGTGTTCTTATCTAAAAAAGAAAACATGGATTTTGAAAGCTGAGAAGAAAGAGAAAATTGTGAATAAAGACTTGGAGCAGAATGCAAAAAGAAAAAAGTTCCATGCAGAAAACCAGAAGTGTAAATGTAGGTTGGAATCAAATGGGGAAGGGTCAAGATTTCTAACTGAAGGAGTTGGAAATGTATTCTATAGAGCCTGAGATATGGGCAGTATTTTTAGTAGGTTTAAGGAATGTTAGAAACATGGTTCTAAGAAGGCAACAGAGCACAGAGGGAATTATAATGGGGTGCTAGAGGAACAAGACAAGAGTAGGAATAGCAGGGGCAAATGTGACAATCCAGTGAAGGGAAGAATGAATAGTCACATCCAAAGATATCAGGTAAAAGTAAATAAATAAATGTATGCTTCCACCTAATGTTTCATTTAATGATCCCAAACTGCAAGCAGTTTAGTAAAACTAGTAAACCCTATTAACTGAGTTAAGTAGAGTGGAGGAGATGTAGGAGGTTACTCTTATAAATAGTGGAAATAAAAAAGTGACATAGAATAACATGCATTAGTTTCAATGATATAGATTGAATGAATGAAACAAATCCTTTCCTGACCAGGTCCTCAGGGAACTTGTTTTAGTGACTAGATAAGACATGTTTTGTAAATAGCATGTTAATCGCACATACCTACTTTCTAATGCATTAGAGTATTTGAAAATATCTTATTTTCATACAACCCCTTACTTTTATTTAAACAACTCACCTTCACTGTAAAGAAATGCTAATGAATTAAAGGTAAACTTTAGTCAAGTTCTACTTCACGTCCTATTATGGCATTCAATTACTGGTAAGCTTTATACTTTTAAAATGTATAACACAAACAAGGTCTGAATTATCCCCAAGTGCAACGTCTGCTAAAACTACTGTTTTTAGAGTATCCAGGAGCTCAGTCAGCTTCTCAAAGTAGCTCCCGGTTTAAACTCTGGAGAGACTTATCTAGGTAAGGAGATCACGAAGACATACTTCCTGTTAAAGATTGTATTTTATATGAGTGAAACAGGTTATTCTTAGTGAGATGGAGGCTGGATCCATATTTTTTTAAAAAACGTAAGATTTCTTTTGGAGGTTCAACTTCTAGCAAAAAAAAAAAAAAAAAGGAAAAAGAAAAAGTGTAAAAACCAGTATAGATAACACAGTTATATTGTTGAAATTTCATAGAAATTTGAAAGAGCTTTACTTTTGTACCAACAGGATGACAGAAGTTTTTAGTTATGTCATGTCAGTTAACACAAATAACAAAAAGATAGTCTGAAATGTTTGGTACAGTAATGTGCTCACAGTGATAACGTGTGACTGAACTAGAATTTCTTTTGTTGGAGGGGGATTGGTGGGAGAAAACCTCTCTCCCAGTGAAGAAAAATTAGTAAACAGCTATTATTGTTTAAGAAGAAGAAAGCTGTCAAACTGAGGAATAATGTCAGATTTTAGAGAAATGGCCCCTGTAATTTGCTATTAATTGGAAATAAGAAATTACAGAGATTTAAAGCACCCATTATTTGTCCTTAAAAATGAAATAATTCGTCTTTTGAGAAGGTTTGACATTTTCCCAGGAGCTCCTCTGCCTTATCCAGAAGGCTATTCAGATATATGATTGCCACATCAGAGGGCTCTAGAGAGGTATAAAAAGCTAAAAGGTGAGCTTATCCACCCTGTAAGTCTGGATAAAAATGTGTTTTAATTATCTACTACACTAGGTAGACTGAATGCCTTGAAGGTAAAGAAAGATTGCTTTGACAGGTTCAGAAATGTTGCTTCAACTCAGGGAATTGTATGTTCCAAAGAAAGCTGGGTGCTTTATACAACAGCAAACTCTGACTTGTTTCTGGTTACTAAAGTTCTTCAGAAAAAAAAAATTTTTTTACATGTCTCCCTCATTGAAACAAACTCAGGCAGGATTTTTGTTATGTCATTTGAAATGCTGATAATTATTTTGTTTCCTACAGTAGGAAATGTGTTGTAAGTGATAGAAAATTCTACATTCAATGGCTTAAATAAATAAGGGCTCTAGTTTTTCTCCTGTAACAAATCCCAGAGATAAGAATCCCAGAGCTAGTGTAGCGGCTCCTGTTCTGGCTTCCTTAGTTTGTGGATTTCATCTTCTTGATCACAAAACGGCTGATGAATCTCTAGGCATTGAATCTTTGCTCTTGGCAGGAAGAAGAAGGGCAAAGAGTCAAAGGGAGGGTTGAGTCTCTCTGGTCTGACAATCTTTGCTAGATGCTTGATCCAGAGAACATCTACTTGCATCTAATTAGTCGGAACTGGGTTGCATGGGCATCCGTAGCTACATGAAAGATCAGGAAAGTGAAGGTTTTGTTTTGTTTTGTTTTGTTTTGTTTTGTTTTAATATAGCTTCTGGTCATAATTTGTATATTTCTTATTGTCTTGCAGATTAACACTAAGATTTCTCCTGTCCCTCTTTTGTTTGAAGTCAGACTAATTTCCAAACTCTGAAGACAAACAGGAAAAATGCGTTAACAACTCAGCCAAACTCCAAGTAAGAAACTGGAATGATACAATTAACAATGAGCTCAGAAACAGAATAATGAACTCATTGTTAATTGTTTCATTCCAGTTTCTTACCCTAACCCTAAACCTACCTTAACCCTAACAATGAGCTCAGAAACAGAAAAATGAGCTCATCGTTAATTGTATCATTCCAGTTTCTTAGTTGCAGTTTGGCTGAGATGCTACCCGTTTTTCCTGCTTGTTTTCAGAGACTGGTAATTAGTCTGATTCCAAACAAAAAGGGGACAAGAGAAACCTTAGTGTTAATCTGCAAGATAATAAGAAATATACAAATTATGACAGGAAGCTATAAAAAAAGGCAGATTAAATGTTTCTAATAAGATACCTTTGGCAAAGATTTTGTGAAGTAGTTATCCGGTAGATATAAGGCTTCACAGAGCTTAGATATAAACAGAAACGTGGGTGAAATACAAAAATATGATTCAGTTCACAGGTAGCAAAACCACGGAACTACTCTAATCTTTTTAGCCGAAAGCAAGAGGTGTGAGTCACTGATCTAAAGACAAGGATTACCCAGAAATTAACGAAGAGTGATGAGTAGAAAAGCTGTAGAAATAATGTGAAATGCTTAAGAAGAGTTATTTTCTCTAGAAGTCTGCCCTATGGGGAAATAATAAAAAGAATAGAAAAATCATTAAATATTAAAACATAGAATATCAATACATGCAAAAATAGACCTCGTAGGTCAGAAGATCGAGACCATCTTGGCTAACACGGTGAAACCCCGTCTCTACTAAAAATACGAAAAATTAGCCGGGCGCGGTGGCGGGCGCCTGTAGTCCCAGCTACTCGGGAGGCTGAGGCAGGAGAATGGCGGGAACCCGGGAGGCGGAGCTTGCAATGAGCCGAGATAGCGCCACTGCAGTCTGGCCTGGGCGAAAGACCAAGACTCCGTCTTAAAAAAAAAAAAAAAATTAGACCTCATAAGCCTAAAATGAAAATATCTTTATATTTCTATAGGGGTTTGTGAAATTAGCTTTCATTGAGTTGACATCAGGATGTGAGTGCTACCTTTACTTGTAACAAACAGCAAGCAATCCTAGGCATCTATGAAAGGTGTACTGGTCTTTGCTTCAGACCTTTAGTGAAAAATGTATAGTGTCAGAAGATTTTGATTTTTTTTTTCTAAGGCCTTTATTTGAATGTTTTACAGGCATACTGCTGCTCTTCACTTTGGATTTGAATTTTAGAGACTTAATTAAGGTTTCCCAGATATTTTTTGAAAACTGGGAATTTTTTCCAAGATTATTTAGAGATGAACTCAGGAGAAAGGTGAAGGGCAGTGGCTTTTAGAAACAAGTTTTATTTTTTCTTCTCTACCTCTCTGGATTTTTACATAACAAAAAAAGAAACAGAAGGCGATGGGGAAGGCATTTGGCTTCTTAAATCTGATGATGAGTGAAAAATGAGTTTTCTCCCTCTTACTCCCATCAATGGCCATTAACTTAAGAATTTTACTGAGCTGAGTAGATTAGTTGGTAGGGGAACTCCTCAAAATTCGGAGGTGAAAATGATCTATAAAACAGCTCCATTCAAGATAACTGTAATGAAAATATAATCCTAACAGCCTACATGTCTCAGCTTACAAACTCTTTATCTGTTATGAGGGTTTCGTTTCTCTATTTCTCCTTTTTACTCATCTTTTCTTTTCTGGGTTTCTTGTCTTCATATATAGTTCTTATTTAATATTAATAGTAGCTTTTTTATTTTCTGCATTCTCATAGTCTTTATACATGCCTAGTAGTTTAAACTAACACCTTATCTACCACCCTATTAGTTACAGAGAAAAACATTATATATATAATATATATTATACATATACTGATTAATTATAATATATTACAATATAAATTTTATAATCTACATCTATAAAGATACCTCTGTAGCACTTCTGATCTTGGCTGGGAGGTAAAATGGTAATGGTAAAGATAAAGTAGTGGCAGTGAAGATAATCCAGGATAATCCCCATAATCCTTATTCTCCACATCTTCTTCTTTCCTAACTTCCCCTGTCCTCCTATTTTAAACTATTTTTTTCCCAATCTCATTTTTCAAAAAGGTTTCGAGGGAAACTGTTTATTGATGACTATAATCATCTTCTGTGGTTTAGTTTTATGGGAAGAGGAAAAAAACAAAAAGAACTAAAATCTCCTAAGTATTTTTTTTCTGTTGTTATTGTTGTTGTTTTGTTTTTGAGGACCTCAAATAATAGACTCAGCTCTACTGGACTCTAAGAACTTGTAACCAATTTTATCTACTTCTACTCCTCTTTTCTTGAATTCTCTTCTCTGGAATGATGCAGGGAGGGAGCTCCAGCCCAATTAATTAAGATAGTAATGACTTGGACTGACGGCAGAGGTAGATAAGTCAGGGAACATGATAAGGGGATAAAGAGTTTGTAACCAAACCCCCGTAACTTGAGCACAACATCAAATACAGGCCACAGCTGGGTTTTGTCCAAAATGATTTTCCTGTCACCGATAAAAGAAAAAAGGAAACAAGAAAGGAAGAATAGAGAAAGGAAGGGAGGAAGGAAGAAAGGAAGGAAGGAAAGAAAAGGAAGAAGAAATAGAAATAGAAAGTTATCTGCCAGCCTTATGTCTAACCAAACTGCAGACCAATTTCAGGGACACATTTGTCTTTGAACATACGATATTGCCACCAGACATAAGACAGTACTAAATTGGCAGCCCCAGGGAGATTTGCTTATGATTGCATTGGCTGGATGCTTGGAAAATACAGCTTATGTCCTGGGCTCTTAAACAGTAAAATCTACTTTCTCTTAGATACAGTCTTTTTCCAGACCCTTGACTGACTTTCATCACCAAAGAAGAAAAAAAAAAATCAAACGGCATTATCTGCTCATTTGAATATAAGAAACACGACAGAAAATACGTTTTTCTTTTCTTTTTCTTCTTATTCTTTTTATCAAGTAGATAAGCACTCTCAAAAGTAAGAGAAATGGAGCCTGCAAAAGGCTGCAACACTACAATCTCTTCTAAATTACAAATGATTGGCCTCTCAGAAACCAGTGTGATTGAAATTGTACATGCAAACCAACCCAGAAGATAACGTATCTTTTTACTGTCCTGTAACTGCATATCAATTTCCCCTAAAATTAGTGACATTTCCTGAAGTGTAAAAGGACATATTTTGACATTAATGAGAAATCATAGAATTTTAATAGAGAATCAAAGTTATAAAATTAGTTCTTAACTATAATAGGTATAAAAAAATTCATACAACTTATGATCAGATTGAAAGTGCTGGGTATTGAGCCCACAGCAGGTAGGAACAAATATACCTGAAGAAATTCCTCCCCAAAAGATTTTTAAATAAAATAATATAGAAAATTCAGAGAGGCTATGTTGACTAGATATTAATAAAAATATTTTGTTAACTAGAAAAAATTCTTTATTTCTCCCTATTCATTTTAATAACTTGTTTTCTGTCTCTTCATTCTTTATGGGTCAATTACTGACTGATTAACCAATCAATTTAGCTAGTAGCTAATAAAATTCACAACTAATCTGATTGTGTTGCTTTAGTAGGATAGGTGGAATTCAGGTTTAAGACAGCTGAGCACTGGTCAGCCTTTCTCCCTCTTGAGAACGAAAGTAATAATAAATTCATAAATAAAGTATCATCAAAAACAATGAGAACAGTAAAAATGGTAACAAAACAATAAATATCAGTAATGACAGATTGTATCAAATATCTCAAATATGTAAGTGGAATAAAAATTGATAGAATGAGGAAACAGAATAGTATGATAAATACCCTAGATTATGCATGGAGGGAGTGAGTAGCTACAGAAGTTGATCTCCCCTCAGGCTCCAGACCTCAGAGCCCTGAACTCAGAGATAGCACATATAACAGAGACCCAGAGTAAGAAGTGGAATTGAAAAAGGAGGCATCAATTGAAGGTTGGTAGGAAAAAGATTTACATCACCCCTCCTTCCAAATTTACTACCTTGTAATTGTCTCTCTTTTCAAAAGAGAAGCAGCCAGGAATGCATTTACTTTCACGGGAATAATGAACTCTTCTTCTCTAGAGAAAGTAAAGGAAGTATCTGGGGATGCCTATTCCATCTAGGTGGATGTCAATGCTCAATAATAAAGCTTTCTCATTTCAACATTGGGAGTGAAGTAGGGGAAAGGCTGGTGCTCTGTGTGCTCTTGACACAGTACACAGAGCTCCCAGTCGGCCTTCCTGTTTACACACATTTTTTTTTTCTTTTTTTGTGACAGGGTCTCACTCACTTTGTCACCCAGGCTAGAGTGCAGTGGTGCAATCTCTGCTCACTGCAACCTCTGCTCCCGAGGCTCAAGCAATCCTTCCGCCTCAGCCTCCCAATTACCTAGGACCATAGCTGTGTGCCACTATGCCCAGCTAATTCTTTGTATTTTTAATAGAGATGGGGTCTCACCATGTTGTCCAGGCTAGTCTAGAAATCCTGGCCTCAAGTGATCTGCACACCTTGGCTTCCCAAAGTGCAGAGATTACAGGTGTGAGCCATGGTGCCTGGCCACAAACAACTTTTTCTGAAGCTATTTCTTGTGCATGAACTCCAGAAAATGCAGATTAAAAAAATAGGAAGACAGAGTATACAAGAAATGGTAAGAATAACTAAGGATCCCAATAATAACACCAACTCTACATAGAGAAGGAAATTGGCGGTTGCTAAGAGGAGTATCTTCAGAAAGAATACTAGAAGATAGGCTGAATACAAAGCTGAAACATATTATAGGTATAGTATAAGTGGCTTATATTTCTTCATAACAAATAAACAAAAAAGGCTATGAAATATTTTAGTAAATGCCAAACAAAATGTACAAGAAAGTAATTGTCTCCCCAAAAAGCAAATTAAAGAGTGGCATGGGCTGGGCGCAGTGGCTCACAGCTGTAATTACAGCACTTTGGGAGGCCGAGATAGGTGGATCACCTGAAGTCAGGAGTTCCAGGCCAGCCTGACCAACATGGTGAAACCCCTTCTTTACTAAAAATACAAAAAAAATTAGCTGGGCATGGTGGGACATGCCTGTAATCCCAGCTACTCAGGAGGCTGAGGCACGAGAATCGCCTGAACCTGGGAGGCAGAGGTTGCAGTGAGCTGAGAGCAGCCTGGGCAACAAGAGTGAGACTCCATCTCAAAAAAACAAAACAAAACAAAAAAGTGGCATGACTTGAGCAATTGAGGAAATGGAGTAAAGGAGATTCTATCTAATTCAATGCTAAAAATACTTTTGTTTGAGTTGTGATGGGTTTATACATTGCGAACATAGAGAAGGAGTGGAAATCACAGACTTCCAGTTGGATCTGTGATGAACAATATTTATATACTCATATTAATAGAAATACTGTCTTTGGTCTTTCAACTTTTATAATCAACATTTAGGTAACCCTCAGATGATTTCACCGATATTATAGGACAGAATGTAAATATTACTATCTTAGTCTAAATACAGATTAATTTACTAGTACCAAAGGTGGAACTTGGAATGTAACTTTTACAGAGACTCAGACCCGCTGAGTAGGATAAGAACTAAAACAAGCTTTAATTTTATCTCTCTTAACTTGCAAGCCATAACGGAGAAGAGAAAATGAGGATCCCCAAACAAAGAGGGGCATTAAGCTTTGTTGTTTCTTACTATTCCTGGTAGAGTAATACTTAAACTGATGGCAGAGAGGAAATGAGTTTTTTCCAGAGACCCATAAGTTATCAAATAGCTGAGTTCCATTTCACAGCTTTGAAGGAATTCCATCAGAGGTGCCAATCACTGCAGAATAGACCAAATACTTGTCTTGTTACATCAAGCTGTCCTGAAGAGAGGGCTCTTCTTAATTGGTTGGTGTAAGCAGCCTAAAATAATTGAAGACAGCCATGTGCTTATATGCTAACCAGCCACCAGTAGTCAAAGAGGCATTAGGCTTACAACTGGTTCTCCTACAGCCAAAAACTGATTGGCATTTCTAAAGCGTGTAGCCAAAAGCCATTCCTGTGCTTACATTTCACACAATGGCATCTGTATTAAGACTATGCTATGTTAAGTAACAAAATCTACTTTAAAGCTTCTGAACCTTGGGGAACAAAAAAAGAAAAAGAGTTCTAGTAAAGTTGCTTATTTTTTTTTGTAGGGCCCTAAATTCTGTAAGTGAGGATTATCTGGAGGAACACTACCAAGATGTCTTGACAATGTAAACATAAAGGTATAGAAGAGAGAAGTTAGGATGTGTAGGTGAGGCAGAGAGTTGGGGTAGAGGGACGGTAGCAATCAGAAAATGGCAGTTGAGAGAAACGATCAAATATCAATGGAACAAGAAACATTGGGTATATTATTTTAAGTTACATAAATAAACAGACAAACTAAAAATACTAAAATAACTATGAAACTTAGGAATTGGGTATGTAGATGGAGGTGGTTTTAGTGCACATGCACTATAACATCTATCATAGCAGCAGTAGATACTGTCAAAATTAATGAACTTGCATAAATGTCTTAGAGGCATACTAGTTAGACACAAGAAGACATTCACCAGAAGACATAAAAGTAGTTGTTTTTACAAGTAGGTTTGCAGATGGGAGTGGCAGACAGGGGCTTTCTGCTTTTTATTTTAAGTTCATTGGTGCTATTTTAGTATAAATCATGAGAATGCATTACTTTAATAAAAAGTAGGCATATATTCAGGAAAGAAAAAGAGTAGAGAAAAAAACTAATTGGACTAGTCGTTTGACTAAAACGTCTAAAACAACAGTATGTTCACCATTTATTTCCTAAAGCTGACAATCTGCTTCATTTTCTTCTTTTATTTTATACCCAAGTCTACTCCTGTTTACCCCCCTTGCTCTGCTCACAATATACCCAAGAATTTTACAACCTACTTCACTAAACATGTAATAAGTGCTGAAATGTCTATCAAAGCAATCTTATATGTAATATAATATTTCTGTGTACGCCATACTATACAAGGTGATTGACAGACTAGATATGTTGTTACTTTTTTTCTTTTTGGCTAAGGAAACTGATGTTTCTTTCTTGCCAAATGTATTTCAGGAGAGAGTCTGAACAGTAAGTTATTGCTATCAGGAATAAGATCATAGTAAAAGAAAATATTTTTTGAGGGATAAGATGTATATTAGTCCCTAGGAAAGGGCAATTCAACAAAAGAAATTACTTTCTTGTAAAGACCCAGAACCTCAAAAGACAAAAAAGAGACTATTTTCAAAAAATAAAAAATAACCTTGTAATTTGTCAATAAACTTCTCATGTTTCCAGTTTGCCTCTAGAAAACTATCATTTCATCCTACTTGTGCCTTTTGCTTTCTTCATATGAAGTAGATGTGTCAAAGACTTTTTAATAATGGCCTAACTTTCAATTTGGGCAGATTTCTGTAACTTTTCCATTTATTGAATATTGTTCCCTGTTATGTTGCTACTTCAGGTCTTTGGTGAATTACTTTCTTTATTATATATTAGGTCCTGGAACTTCTAGTTCTTCTCTAGCGTTTTCAAGTCATCATGCCTCTGTGAAGAGCCCAGTTTTCAAGTCACTAAGATGCTGCCTTAGAGAGATTTACCAAATGATGGCTCTTTGACGCAACTTAGTTTATGTCCTTGCCCAGATTCATATGGCCCCATCAACCTCTCTGGCCTTGGCCATGTCTCCTGCATTCCAAACTGAGTGTCTCCAGTGACTGCAATGTGAGTGTCAATGTGAGCAAAGCCATTTCCTTGTTCACAAAGCCTGGTCATCACCTTTTAACTTATCATAGATTCTGACACCTCTGGTTGTCTTCTACTGACAAAGTCCAGACTTTAACAAAGCCTTTGATATGGTTTGGCTCTGTGTCCCCACCAAAATCTCATCTCGAATTGTAATCCCCCAGTGTTGAGGAAGGGAGGTGATTAGATCGTGGAGGGGGGTTTCCCTCGTGCTGTTCTCATGGTAGTGAGTGAGTTCTCATGACAGCTGATGGTTTTTGTTGTTGTTGTTGTTGTTGTTGTTTTGAGACAGAGTCTCACTCTGTCACCCAGGCTGGAGTACAGTGGCCTGATCTCGGCTCACTGCAAGCTCCGCCTCCCGGGTTCAAGGGATTCTCCTGCCTCAGCCTCCCGAGTAGCTGGGACTACAGGCGCACGCCTCCATGCCCAGCTAATTTTTTGTATTTTAGTAGAGACGAGGTTTCACTGTGTTGCCCAGGCTGGTCGCGAACTCCTGAGCTCAGGCAATCCGCCCACCTCGGCCTCCCAAAGTGTTTGGGATTACAAGCATGAGCCACCGCACCCGACCAGAGAGCTGATGGTTTTAAAGTGTGGCACTTCCTCATTAACGCTTATCCTCTCTCCTTTTGCCTTGTGAAGAAGGTGTCTGCTTTCCCTTCTGCCGTGATTCTGAGTTTTCTGAGGGCTCCCCAGCCATGCAGAACTGTGAGTCAATTAAAACTCTTTTATTTATAAATTACCCAGTCTCAAGCAGTATCTTTATAGCAGTGTGAAAACGCAGTAATACAGCCTCCAAAACACCCTCTGCAGAAGGAGTCCAGGCAGTGCCTACAGATGCCGTGGGTGTCTCAGCAGCTGTCTGGAGATTATGGGTAAAACAACCTAAAACTTTAGGAGAGGTAATTTCCTGTGGGTAAAATTTGACCAAAGAGAGAGAGGATTTCAGGGGCAGCTGGCAGATAAATTAAGGTCTGAGTAACCACATTTGTTTACAGTTAAAGCTGTGGCCAAATTGGTATGGTAACACATTCCCTTGTGTTTGCTTTCCTTTCTTCTGTGATATTCTCATTCTCCTGGGATTATGATCCTCCAAGAAAGTATTCACATCCAAACTTTATTTCAGAGTCTATTTTCTAGGAAACCTGGGCTAATGCATTTGTTACCTATGTGTGTTAAACGGACCTTTAGGATGGGGATTTGAGATTAGATTGCTCGTCTAACTGAAGGCAATAGGGCCTCATGGCTTGTAAAAAGCAGAGTGGTTAAAAAAAAAACTATGATGTACATGATTATTACAAGTTTCACCTATCATTAATCGAATTGAGGTGCTGGTGGAAGACAGAGCATTAAGAAATCAAATTCTTAATAGACTTTATCAATGATGAGCAGGAGCAATGATAATTTACATGACTGTCATTTGAACGGCTAGTTTTGACAGCCCTGGAGGCCAAATTAAAGCATGTTTTCAAAGCCAAAGTTCTCAGATGCATATCTTAAAAAGGTTCTTATCCCTTAATGCACAAGATATTCTACACTAAAAATGAGGCTTAGGATTTGATCATAATGGTGGGAGAGCTGCAAAAGGAGCTTGAATGCGCAGCCTCTGATTGGAGAGAGTGGAAACCTGAAATATGAAGTGGGTTCATTAGTTTATCAACCTGAGATTCTTGAATCTCCACATTCCACTGAGCCCTCTGGCTGGTAGAAAAACCCAGCTTCCCCCTGCTAAAGGAGAACAGTTCCCCTGTATCTGATTACCATGAAATGCCCATATCCGAGGCAAGTTTACGTTTGTTTTCCTTAAGACTTATCCCAATTTACTCTCCTTGCTTCCAAGTCAGTAAGAAACACAGTTCTGGGAACAAAGAGTGTATCCCTCAAAAGAGTGGTAGGATCTGGTACATATTACTGTCAGGAACTGATGACATATGTACAGAAGTGGATTTGAGCATGTTTATTCAAAGAGATGAAATATAAGTTTAGATGGGAAGAACTCACAGGGCGCTTACCCCCAGTAATGGTTCAACATCCTGGCAAGCATAGTTGAAGCTCTTTATACTAGTTTGCTCTATTGACTCCTTAAACATTAGATATAATAAAGATTTATGAGAAATGAGGTAGAGATTTCAGAATATTCAACATAATATTAAAGAAGTTAGATGTCAGACGGAATTGGGAATGTTTGAATGGATTGACATAGTAAATGTAACTGAGAAATTATCACCCACTTATGTTCCCAGGGAGGACCCAAAGACACTGCCTTCACTGTGGTAATAAAGAATGCATCTTGAGTAGCACTTTAGTAGTTGTCACTGCAGGGAGATGTCACCATGGAGTTGGGATTCCAGATTTCAATGAGGAGACACAGTTTGAAATGGCCTGGGCCAGATGGCAACATGTAACTAGCCCTGACAAGGTGGATGCAGTTGCTGAGATGGACAGCAAAGCCGGAGTAGCAATAAGGATGCCTCAATTCATAGAGATCTAGAGCCATGGCTGTCAGGGAAACACAGACGGACAGATAGCCTGTACAATTGAGCCAGGGGGGTTGATTTGTATAATAATAAAAACAAAAAAAATCTGACTAGTGGACAAGCTGACACCAGCTTTTAGGAGGGAAAATCATAGTTCCTTACCCTGGTTCCTGATCTGCCAATTCATTGAAACAGCTCCTTGATTGAAAGGAAGACTCTCAAAAACACTGTAAGTTTATACAGTAAATATTTCTATAATATTCCCCCAGGCAGACTTTTGGACAATTTCTAGGGTACTGTGCTTTCTGTGAGAGCTTTCCAGACTTTCTAAGACATATGTCTGACATGATACTGATACCCAGGGAACTAAAAATCCATTATGAGTCTCTGAGTAGAGTGGGAGTTTGTAAGGGCCAGATAATAAATGAAATTTAGGCCAAATTCTTTTATAGTTGGTTCAGTGGGTGTTTGGGTTCATCACAAGACATTATTCTTGAATCTCAAATAGTTAATTGGGAAGTCAGCAGTTTTTTATTAAAATGTCAGAATCTTTCACATTGGTTCTCTGACCTATAGAGTAAGTGCTATTATGGTAGAAAGCGAAAGCAGAAGTTCCTAAAACTGCCCCTCCATCCCATTAGACAAAAAATTCAAAGAAATACTACAGCTAGAAAGGAATTGTAGAGGTTATTGCCAATATCAAACACTTAAAAGAAGGAAGGCTGATAGTTCCAATAATAGCCCCATTTAATTCACCTGTTTGATTTCTGCTACTACCTAGTTGGGGATGGTGGATGTTGATGGATTATCATGAACTTATACAGGTGGCAAATCCAATTGCAGTTGCTATGAGATGTGGTGTCTTTACTAGAGCAGCTCAATTACAACCTCTGGCATTTGGTATGAGGAATTTATTTTTAAGTGGTGAGGGCAGCAATAATACCCTTTTAATGTCTTTCTTCAAGATTAGTCTGAAGCTCCTGGCCCCTCATAAGATACTGTGCAGGCGTTTTTATTATTTTGAAATGCCATAGAATATCATGATGGTCTACTGTATTGACAACATTGTGCTAATTAGACTTGGGGAGAAGAAAGTGGCAACAACCTTAAAAGTCCTAGTAAGAGATGTGTTCCCGAAGGCAGGAGATAAATCCTATGCTGATTTGGGAGACTGCAGGTCATTTTTTAGGGATCCAGTGGCCTGAGACAGGTTGGGATATCCCCTGTAAGGAAAAGGGGAACTTCTTGCATCTCACAGTTCCTACAACTGAGAAAGAGGTAATTCAGGCCGTTAGGTCACTGAAGCAGGACATGTGGAGTAAACTACTACTCACTGGAATAACAGCTGTCTGCATGTTAATGAGCCCTAACAGAGATTAAGCACTAGATCATGTGACACTGAGAAAGTATGCAGCCTGAGCTACCCATTATAAACTGAGAGTTATTAGAGCATTAGCTTCATTTTAGGATGGAGATGATACATTCAAGGACTAGCTGAGGGAAGTCCAGAAGGCACAAGTGAATTACATGAATAAGTAAGTTATCTGTCATATATCTTTGTTGTATTGATACTTCTTCCTCAACTCACACTTAGGTCTTCATAGGAGGATGTTCTATTGGTTTCTTACATCTAACTGTGGAAGAAGGTCAATACTGAGAACTTACTCATATTTAAATTGACTGTTTCATTACATCCCACTCAGGAGTGGCCCTGAGGGATGATGGGGGAAGGGAAATAATTATCTGAGTGTGGCAAGCAACACATTTGATGGGCAACTTTTTGTGGAGGGAAAGGTGATGTATGGATATATATTGACTCCAGGAAAGTGGAATGAATGGCTTAACAGATTGGTTGTGCACCTGGAATGAAGATAGGGAACAAGAAGGTCTAAAGCAGTATTAAGTGGATATACCTATGGGCGAAGGCTAAAAGTGTGCAGATCTTTGTATTTAGGCATTTGTTCACCAGAAAACATTCATTACATATAAGATTGTCAACAATCAGGTGTCAGCATAAATTATCTATGGTTGTCAGCCAGTCTCCTTTAATCATAATAGTGCTTGTGCTGTATGTTCATGAACAGAGAACTATTATCACAGGTTATGCACAGGTTCAATAACACGGATTTTATCTCACCAAGGCTGATAAAGCTATCACCACTACTAAATATTCAACCTTTCATTCTGTTGGGGTCCCACTCTGAGCCCTCAAAATGTCACCATCTTCAATGATACAAGACAACCTCATTCAAAAAACACTTTTGGGGTAGCAGGGCCAAGATGGCCAACTAGAAGCAGCTATGATCAGAAGCTCCCATTGCAAAGACCATAATTAGTGTGTGAATCCTGCACTGGCAAGGAAGGTATCCAGGTTCTCTCATCAGAACTGACTAGGCAGCTGGCGTGATCCACAAAGAAGGAAGAGCAGGATGGTGTGGTGGCCCACCTGAGAGCCACACGGGGCAGGGGACCCTCCACCCCCCAGCCAAGGGAGGCAGTGAGTGAGCGTGCCACCCAGCTGGGGAAACCATGCTTTTTCCACAGAACTGTGCAACCCATGGATCGGAAGATCCCACTCACAAACTCATGCCACCAGGGGATAGGGTCCCAATCCCAGAGCCATGCAGATTCTCAACAGCCTCTCAGCTAGAATCTGCTTAAGCCTGCTGAATTCCCGGGGAGAGGGGCAACAAATACCACAGCTGTGGCTGCCTGCTGTGTGAGCCCTTTGAGCTCCTTGTGAGAGGGACAGCAGCCAGCACTGCAACTCAAAACTGCGTAACATGCTAAGCTCGCTGGGCGTGGGGAGGGGTGGTATCCATCTCTATAGCTCCAGGCCACACTTTTTCCCTGATGGAGTCAGGGAGAGTGGATGTCTTGGTCCCAAGAGGTGTTCCCCCAGAGCCCAACACACTGGCTGTGGCCAGAGCATCTCCTCAGACCTGACCTTGATTCATCCTTCCTCACTGGGCAGGGCCTGCCTGCAGGAACTCCAACAACTCCAGCCAGAGGCTTAGGAGCATGTTCTAATCCAATGCAAATAAACCAAGAACCTTGATAAAAAGTTAGAGGAGTTGCTAACTAGAATAACCAGTTTACAGGGGAACATAAGTGACCTGATGGAGCTGAAAAACACAGCACGAGAATTTTGTGAAGCATACACAAGTATCAATAGCTGAATCAACCAAGGGGAAATATCAGAGTTTGAAGGCCAACTTGCTGAAATAAGGCATGCAGACAAGATTAGAGAAAACAATGAAAGGGAATGAACAAAAACTCTGAGACATATGGGACTACTAAACAGAACGAGTGGAGTACCTGAAGTAGATAGGGAGAATGGAACCAAGTTGGAAAACACACTTCAGGATATTATCCAAGAGAACTTCCCCAACCTAGCAAGACAGGCCAACATGCAAATTCAGGAAAAACAAAGAACACCATTAAGATACTCCACGAGAAGATCAACCCCAAGACACAGAATCATCAGACTCTCCAAGGTCAAAATGAAGGAAAAAATGTTAAGGGCAGCCAGAAATAAAGGCCAGGTCACCTACAAAGGGAAGCCTGTCAGACTAACAGTGGACCTTTCAGCAGAAACCCTACAAGCCAGAGGAGATTGGGGCCAATATTCAGCATTCTTAAAGAAAATAATTTTCAACCCAGAATTTCATATCCAGCCAAACTGAGCTTCATAAATAAAGGATAAAAACATTTTTTTCAGACAAGGAAATGCTGAGGGATTTTGTCACTTCCAGGCCTGCCTTGCAAGAGCTCCTGAAGGAAAAAATAAATATGGAAAGGAAAAACTGGTACCAGCCACTGCAAAAACACACCAAAATATAAAGACCAATGACTCTATGAAGAAACTGCATAACTAGTGTGCAAAATTACCAGCTGGCATCATGATGGTAGAATCAAATTCACATAACAAAGCTAACCTTAAATGTAAATGGGCTAAATGCCCTAATTAAAAGACACAAACTGGCAAATTGGATAAAGAATCAAGACCCATTGGTGTTCTGTATTCAGGGGACCCGTCTAATGTGCAAAGACATGCATAAGCTCAAAATAAAGGGATGGAGGAATATTTACCAAAGCAAATGGAAAGCAAAAGAAAGCAGCAGTTGCAATCCTAGTCTCTGACAAAGCAGACTTTAAACCTACAAAGATCAAAAAAGACAAAGAAGGGTATTACATAATGATAAAGGGATCACTTCAACAAGAAAAGCTAACCATCCGAAATAATATGCACCCAATACATGAGCACTCAGATTCATAAAACAAGTTCTTAGAGACCTACAAAGAGACTTAGACTCCCACACAATAAATGTGGGAGACTTTAACACCCTACTGTCAATATTAGGCAGATCAATGAGGCAGAAAATTAACAAGGACATTTAGGACTTGATCTCAGCTCTTCATCAAGTGGACCTAATAGACATCTACAGAATCTCCACACCAAATCAACAGAATTTATATTCTTCTCAGTGCCACATGGCATTCATTCTAAAATTGACCATATAATTGGAAATAAAACACTCCTCAGCAAGTGCAAAAGAACTGAAATCACAACAAACAGTCTCTCTGACCACAGTGCAATCAAATTAGAACTCAAGATTAAGAAACTCACTCAAAACCACAAAATTACTTAGAAATTTAACAACCTCCTCCTGAATGACTCCTGGGTAAATAATGAAATTAAGGCAGAAATCAAGAAGTTATTTGAAACCAATGAAAACAGAGACAACATACCAGAATCTCTGGGACACAGCTAAAACAGTGTTAAGAGGGAAATTTATAGCACTAAATGTCCACAACGTAAAGCTAGAAAGATCTCAAATTGATACCCTAACATCACAATTAAAAGAGCTATAGAAGCAAGAGAAAACTAATCCAAAAGCTAGCAGAAGACAAGAAATAACTAAGATCAGAGCAGAATTGAGGGAGATAGAGAAACGAAAATTCCTCCAAAAAATCAATGAATCTAGGAGATGGGTTTTTTGAAAAAATTAGCAAAATAGAATGCTAGCTAGACTAATAAGAAAAGAGAGAGGAATCAAATCGACCCAATAAAAAAATGATAAAGGGATATCACCACTGACCCTACAGAAATACAAACTACCATCAGAGAATACTGTAAACATCTCTATGCAAATAAACTAGAAAATCTAGAATAAATGGACAAATTCCTAGACACATACACCCTCCAAAGATTAAGCCAGGAAAAAGCAGAATCTCTGAATAGACCAATAACAAGTTCTGAAATTGAGGCAGTATTAATAGCCTACCAACCAAAAAAAGCCCAGGACCGGATGGATTCACAGCCAAATTCTACCAGAGGTACAAAGAGGAGCTGGTACCATTCCTTCTGAAACTATTCCAAAAATTGAAAAAGAAAGACTCCTCCCTAACTCATCTTATGAAGCCAGCATCATCATTATACCAAAACCTGGCAGAGACACAACAAAAAAGAAAAACTTCAGGCCAATATCCCTGAAGAATATTGATACAAAAATCCTCAATAAAATACTGGCAAACCAAATCTAGCAGCACATCAAAAAACATATCCACCACGATCAAGTTGGCTTCATTCCTGGAATGCAAGGCTGGTTTAACATATGCAATTCAATAAACATAATCCATCACATAAACAGAACCAAAGACAAAAACCACATGATAATCTCAATAGATGAAGAAAAGGCCTTTGATAAAATTCAACATCCCTTCAGTTAACTCTCAATAAACTAGGTATTGATGGAACATATCTCAAAATAATAAGAGCTACTTATGAAATATTCACAGCCAATATCATAATGAATGTTTAAAAGCTGGAAGCATTCCCTTTGAAAACCATTACAAGACAAAAATGCCCTCTCTCACCACTCCTATTCAACATAGTATTGGAAGTTCTGGCTAAGGCAATCAGGCAAGAGAAAGAAATAAAGTGTATTTAAATAGGAAAAGTGGAAGTCAAATTATCTCTGTTTGCAGATGACATGATTCTATATTCAGAAAACCCTGTCATCTCAACCCCAAAACTCCTTAAGCTGATAAGCAACTTCAGCAAAGTCTCAGGATACAAAATCAATGTGCAAAAATCACATGTATTCTTTTACACCAACAGTGAACAAGCAAAGAGCCAAATCATGAATGAACCCCCATTCACAACTGCTACAAAGATAATAAAATACCTAGGAATACAGCTAATAAGGGATGTGAAGGACTTCTTCAAGGAGAACTACAAACCACAGCTCAAGGAGATAAGAGAGGACACAAACAAACAGAAAAATATTCCATGCTTATGGACAGGAAGAATCAATACCATGACAATGGCCATACTGCCCAAAGTAATTTATAGATTCAGTGCTACTCCCATCAAAATACCATTGACATTCTTCACAGAATTAGAAAAAACTAATTTACATTTCATATGGGGAATCAAAGAAGATCCCATATAGCCAAGGCAATGCTAAGCAAAAAGAACAAAGCTGGAGGCATCATACTACCTGACTTCAAACTACACTACAAAGATACAGTAACCAAAACAGCATGGTACTGGTACCAAAACAGGCACATAGACCAATGGAACAGAACAGAGACCTCAGAAATAACACCACACATTTACAACCATCTGATCTTTGACAAACCTGACAAAAACAAGCAATGGGGAAAGGATTTTCTACAATACATGGTGCTGGGAAAACTGGCTAGCCATATGTGGAAAACTGAAACTGGACCCCTTCCTTACACCTTATACAAAAATCAACTCAAGTTGGATTCAAGGCTTAAATGTAAAACCCAAAACCATAAAAACCCTATAAGAAAACCTAGGCAATACCATTCAGGACATAGGTTGGGCAAAGACTTCATAATGAAAACACCAAAGGCAATTGCAACAGAAGCCAAAATTGACAAATGGGATCTAATTAAACTAAAGAGCTTCTGCACAGCAAAAGAAACTATCATCAGAGTAAACAGGCAACCTACAGAATGGGAGAAAATTTTTGCAATCTACTCATTTGACAAAGATCTAATATCCAGAATTTACTAGGAACTTTACAAATTAACAAGAACAAAAACAAACAACCCCATTAAAAAGTGGTCAAAGGATATGAACAGACACTTCTCAAAAGATGTTTATGCAGCCAACAAACATATGAAAAAAAGCTCAACATCACTGATCATTAGACAAATGCAAATCAAAACCACAATGAGAGACCATCTCATGCCAATCAGAAGGGCAATTATTAAAAAGTCAAGAAACAATAGATGCTGGTGAAGCACTGGAGAAATAGGAATGCTTTCACACCGTTGGTGGGAACGTAAATTAGTTCAACCATTGTGGAAGACAGTATGGTGATTCCTCAGGGATCTAGAACCAGAAATATCATTTGACTCAGCTATCCCATTATGTGGTATATACCCAAAGGAATAGAAATCATTGTATTATAAAGACACCTGCACACATATGTCTTCTCCACACAGGAAGCAGAACAACATATGCCAGGGCCTATTGGGGGATTGGGAGGGAGGGTAGGGAACTTAGAGGATGGGTCAGTAGGTTCAGCAAACCACCATGGCACACATATACCTACGTAACAAATCTGCACGTTTTGCACATGTGTCCCCAAATTTAAAGAAAAATTAAAAAAAAAAAGACAACCTCCAGTGATTGGTTGATTGCCTTGGACTTTGGAGGGGGTAGAAATTATTCCTAACCAAAATCAATATATACATTGATCTGGATTTGTCTTTTCCTCTGGAAGTCACCCGAGTGGTTCTAGAATGCCTGAGATATCAACATAGTGTCCTATATAATATTGTCTCACAGGAACCTATTTTATTTTAAAGGGCTTTGAAAATTGAGGTACAAATATGGAGTTCACTGGCTTTGCATCATCTAGAAGTTGTCATTGGTGGAAAGGCATCCTGAAGGCTCAGTTAACCTGTTAGCTCAGGGACAACATTTTCTGAGTTGGAAAGCTGTTCTACAGAATCTAGTATATTCATTGAACAAATGACTGATACATGGAGCTGTGTTCTCAGTAACTAGAAGTCCAAGAAAAAAAAAAAAGACTGGAGCCTTCTTACCATCACTCTTGGTGACCCTCTTGCAGAAGTTTTGTTTCCTAACTCTGCAAAATTAGTCTCTGCCAAGTTAGTTAACTTGGTTCCCCAAATGCCAAGTTAGTTAACTGGTTCCCAAAATGAAAATGTTTTTCCAGAAGCTGTTATTACCATCTGGCTACCATCAGCAAGCCAGTCAGAAATGAAAGAAGCTAGTTTTCTCAGTGGATTAATACATAATTTCTTTAATGAGCTGAGAGTGATATCATACAATTGAGGCAAGAGGAATATATCTCCCACCAGGGACTTTCTAGGGGGTCTCTTGGTATTACATCATCCAGTGATAACTGTGATTGGACAATTGTAGCAGCCACCATCCCCTAAATGGTAGGGCAACTGAGATCTTAGACTCCTTGTGGATGAAAGGCTGGGGGACCCCATTAGGCAAGCAACCAAGACTAGTTAAAGTCTTGGTCAAGAAAAATCTCAAGTTGGCAATAGAATAGGGAGATGATAAATATCAATTATTGTTCTGGAACCAGCAGCAATGACAGGGGATATAGTGTTTTTTTCTTACATTTTTCAAGTCTTTTTGGAATACTGCAATCAGTTATGCTTTGAAGAACTGGACTTGTATCTCTTCTCTCAGGATGGAAGTGAATGCCTTGTATGCTTATACAAGAGAGGTTGTAAGCAGATCTGGGTAGTGCAAGACATGAACTCTGCCAGATCCAAACTATGCATCTCCCCAGATACAATCAATATTATTTGTCCTGTAACCCTTAGACATTTGTCATGTTTCTCAGATGGAGCGTGCTCAACATGCTCTTATAGTCTTAATACCCTGGCCTTTACTGTTGTTGCCTCATCTTGAAATACTACCGGTTGATTCAGTTTGTCCCTGAGGCAGGAGCTGAGCCTGGATATGGCTTCATGAGTTAGCTTTGATTGGAGCCATATAGCATTTAGCATCTCAAGTGCCCAATTTCAGCCTGACTGGATCTACTGATGATCCTTTCCCAGCAGTTACCCAGAGGGGCCACATAGAATTCCCAGAAGTACAGAAAAATTAAGGGCTTATAGGCTGACCCTTGACCAATGAAAAACAGAATACGGCAAGAAGCTATCAATTGAAAATGTTTTCTCTTTCTCTCCTTGGATAGATGCTACCAAGAAGCAGTGGCATTATATGGCCTCTAACATGAGTAATAATGCGGGTTTCCTTATAAATTGTAGCAGCTCATTAATGCAACATGTAGTGTTGCTTGTGCTCCTTTCTTGTGTCATGTCCCCTTTACTTCACTCTTGTCTTGGTATTTCTTTTCCCAAAAAAGCATTAGTGTATGGGCTTTGCTCTGAGTGCTAGTTTTTAGAAAATTATGGCTAAGGCAACTTCTTACACAGGGAACACATCAAGGTCACTGATCTGATTTGGCTGTGTCCCCACCCATACATCTTGAATTGTAGCTCCAATAATTCCCACATATTGTGGGAGGGACCCAGTGGGAAATAATTGAATGATGGGGGCGGTTTCCCTCATACTGTTCTCATGGTAGTGAATAAGTCTCACAAGATCTGATGGTTTTATAAGGGGTTTCCCCTTTCTCTTGGCTCTCATTCTTTCTTGTCTGCTGCCATGTAAGATGTAAGATGTGCCTTTCTCCTTCCACCATGATTGTGAGGCCTCCCCAGCCATGTGGAAGTGAGTCCATTAAACCTCTTTTTCTTTAAAAATTACCCAGTCTTGTGTGTGTCTTTATCAGCAGTGTGAAGATGGACTAATATAGTCAGCACAATGCAAATATCTGAAAACAAACAAACAAACAAACAAACAAACAAACACCTCTTCCAACCCAAATGGAGCGGAGGTCGGGTAGTATTTTGGAAGATGGAAAAGAAAAAGGTAAAGAATCATTTTTTCTTCTTTCCTTCTGTGAGAGATGATATGGTGGTGAGGCTTGGAAAGTTGCATTTTGCGGCTAAAAATACTTGCTCAACTATTGACTGAAGAGCTAAGAAAGTGGAGGGAATAGGAAGTAGAGACTTGCAAAATATCCCATCTTTAAAAAGGAAATGTAAAGGGAAACTTGAGGTTCTATGCTTTCCAGTCTATACTATAAAAATTTGAACAAATATTCAGGCAAAAATCTTTGTTAATTTCTCAAGACTTCCCCCCAAATAAAAGGCTTCTTTATCTCTTCTGCTGTTATAACTCTATCATAATAAGTGTCATATTGAATTGTAATTTAGCATTTGCCTATATGACTCTGCTAAATTATAAACTTATTGAAGTCAGAGGCTCTATATTTTTATCATTTTGTCTGTAAAATTTAGCACAGTTCCTGGCATAACAAACATTTAATGATTTGCAACAAGTAAACAAATTTGTATATTTTTCTGGAACTAGAATATAGTTATCTGTAGCTGAGATGGACATATACAAAGTTTATGTAGCACTTTAACTCAAACGATTGAACTTATTGTTTTCTTTTGATTTAAAAAATCATGTCATATAAACATTATGAAATATTGAACTCCAAAAACAATGGATATTTCTATTTTTCATTTTAGCAATTATAACATTTCTTTTACTGTAATTTGCTACCATTCTGTGAGTTTTGCCAAAATTAAACTGACAGAGATTTCCAACAATTAGGTATTAACTCAATGATTACCCCTTGCATTGCATGATTCTAGCCAATGGAATAGATAGAAATACTATTAATACCTTGAAGATGAGAAAAAATAATACAACTTTTAAGGCAGCCAAGAAACACCAGTTCTCTGGCCTAAATATCTCTACTAGCAGAACAGCCAAAGACCTTCCTAAGTTTCTTGGTGACACCTCTTCTCTGCCAGGACTTACAACCCCATTACTGTGATTTAAGAAGGAACTCACAGGGTTTCAGGTCTTATATCAAGAGTCCACCACCATCCCCATTTTCTTCCCCCAACATTCACAACCCCTTGGCCTCCCCATGATTATCATCTGTCTTGGGACCATCAGCTGTTATGTGAGGTGTGTATCTTCTGTTACTGTTTATCACACCCAATATTCTCATATTATCTCTCATTATCTGAGCTCTTTTGTATATGTCCTGTTCTGTTTCAATCTCCCATCCATTATAATCCCACACTAGCCTCAACTGTGCTTCTGAACTAGGCTCTCTCCTGAGAACCCTGATACTTCTGTAACCCTCTCAAATGGATGATTTTTTTTTCTCTCTCTTACCATTCCAGGTACAACTAGTCCTAGAGGTAGGGTTGATCTCCTTTTTGATCCTCATAGTTTTTTCCAAGCGCTATCTCCTTTAGCCTCCCTGAAATTCCAATTATGTTGAAACACAATTATCACACTAATGTCACACTATATTTCCAAATGGCAATCATCTGCTTTCCTCATAATCGTTATCTGATTTATTGAACATTTCAGTGCCAGATCATTCTCTTGCACTTCATACTACTAACATCACTACTGATCCTTAGTGATTTCTACATTCACAAAAGTGATCTACCCAATATTCTGGCTTATCAACTCATAACATACATGTCTTCAATAACTGTGTAGTACTCATCACCGTAGATACCCACTACCGTAACAATGCTCTTGCTATTTCCAATAACTGTCACTTTTTCACAGCCTCCGTATATAGCAGTACATCTCTAGTCAACAGTCCCTGTGTTTTCTGCCATTATCCCAACTCCAGTAATTCTTTTGCCATATCACGAGTTTCTGTGAGTTGACCTTGCCTTCTTTCACTAGACCCTTCCTCCCCTGATATCCTCAATCCCTTTGTTATGTAGCTTATGTTCCATAAACCATTACTATCACCACTTGTTTTCCAACACATTGATCCCTTGCCCCTTTTTTTCCTTTCTTAAACTCAGCTGCTAAAGGTATCCCCAGTTAAGTTCATTTATCTGTCTATTTTAACTCTATATCAGAGCAGCTGAAATTTTGGGAGAAAAACACACAAACACGTCAACATGTTTCTCTTTAATTCATGACTCCTATCCTGAACAGAGCCTTAGTATCACTCTTCAATCCAGATACATTTCTTATGTCCATTCACTCTACCATTCCCCAAGATGACTATTTTACACGTCCTCCTTCTTTCTCAAGCCTTAAACACCTTTTTTTCTCCTCATCTTCAGCTGATGAAGTTACATCTCATTTCATTAACACAACAGAAACAATCAGAAGAGTTTCAACATGCCCCCACTACCAAATCTACCAAACCCGCTGTGTTGGTGCTCATGTACTATACCTGTCCTCCTGTAAGTTGAATGCACTGTTCTTGGACTTCAGTCTTCATTTGTCCATGAACTGTCTTCTTCATTTGTTCATACAATCTCATCTCCCTCCTGTTAAAGTATTTTCTTACAACTGTCCCTCTCCTTCTGACATCAGTACGTTTCTCCTCTCTATTGGATTATATACATTGGCTTATTACCTACATGTTCTAATGTTTCTTTTAAATAACAATAACCGCTACAAAAAATGTTCCTCTAACTCCACATTATCTTCCAATTAGCAATTATATTCTTCCCGGTACAGCAGCAGTCCCCAGTGTTTTTGGCACCAGGGACTGTTTCGTGGACGACAATTTTTCCATGGACAAGGGGGAGGGTGGTTGGGGGGATGGTTTTGAGAGGAAACTGTTCCACCTTAGATCATCAGACATTAGTCAGAGTCTCATAAGAAGCGTGTAACCTAGGTCCCTTGCATGCACAGTTCACAATAGGGTTTGAGCTTCTATGAGAATCTAATGCCACTGCTGATCTGACAGGAGGCAGAGTTCAGGTGGTAATGCTCACTCACCAGCCACTCATCTCCTGCTGTGCAGCCCGGTTCCTAACAAGCCACAGACCAGTACCAGTTCATTGCCCCCAGCTTGGAGACCCCTGCTTTATAAAAAACTCATCAAAATTGGTTTTTATCCTCCCATTTCCATAGAAGTCATGCAAAGAATGTTTTCTCCATAGTATTCCAATGAAAATGGTCACAACGAGATCATCAATGGCATCAACATTGTAAATTTGATGGTGTATACTCAGTCTTTATCTTACCGATTTAGTAGCGGCAATTGACAAGAGTTGATTATTCTGCCTTTATATCATTTCGGGTTTAAGCAGGAAAACAGAAACTATTGTCAGTTTTTCAGCAGGAAGAGATTTTACAGAATTAAATTTATGTCTACGAAACCATTGGTAGGGTTGAGAGAACTACAGTTGGCCTCAAAGAAATCAGAAAAGTCCAGAATTGCCTGAAACCTCAAACAATTAACCCAGCTTCCTCTCAGCTTTGTAATAATTTTAGAAACAATAAAAATAATTAATAGGACTTCACATTGAAATCACTGCAAAGCTCATTCTTGTACACCAGGTTTCCCCAACTGTGACCCCCGTCCCGCCCCCCTACACACACATACTGATCTGTGGGCTCTTAGGAACCGAACCACACAGCAGGAGGTGAGCGGCTGGCCAGTGAGTATTACCGCCTGAGCTCCACCTCCTGTCAGATCAGCAGTGGCATTAGATTCTCATAGGAGCATGAACCCTAGTGTGAACTGAACCTGCAAGGGATCCAGGTTGGACGCTCCTTATGAGAATCTAATCCATTCCCCCACCACCTTCATCCATGGAAAAATTGTCTTCCACTAAACTGGTCCCTGGGGCCAAAAAGGTTGGGGACCACTTTTGTACATCCAAGTGGCCACTGCTCTTGGAATCTAATAGCTATTCTTTCTATTTCATCTTTGATGAATGAGTGAATGTTTTTCAGAGATGTAAAGTAAAATAGATCTCTGCTGGTAAAGGATTCTGCAAAATGCTCCTTCCAGGTTTTCAGTTTTATTATAGGGAAAAGATTAGGGGGATGGGATGGTGTTGGGTATCAGTAGACAATGCCTTGTGTTATTTCTGAAGCCTGCTTTTTTCCCTTTGAAATTCAGAAACCCACTGTTGCTTTGTTCTCCCCTACTTCGTAGCACTCTCCCTCTTGGTCTACTTTGCTGGTTTCTCCTCATTTTCCAGAATACTAAATATTCCCAGAAGCTTTTCAGTCCTATCTGTACTCAGTGCCTAGTGGGTATATCCTCCAATCACAGTTCTTTAAATATGATCTCAGGCCGGGCGCCGTGGCTCACGCCTGTAATCCCAGCACTTTGGGAGGCCGAGGCGGGCGGATCACGAGGTCAGGAGATCGAGACCATCCTGGCTAACATAGTGAACCCCCGTCTCTACTAAAAATACAAAAAGTTAGCCGGGCGTAGTGGCGGGCGCCTGTAATCCCAGCTACTTGGGAGGCTGAGGCAGGAGAATGGCGTGAACCCGGGAGGCGGAGCTTGCAGTGAGCCGAGATCATTTTGAAAAGAGGCTTCAAGATGATGACTGAAGCATGTGGAATGTGTATCACACTCTGAATAACACTGGTACAGTTAAATGTAGATGATGCTCCATTTGTTTCAATCTCTATTCTAATATTTTTTAAAAATATCTCTTCCTCACTGTTTCTTCTAGTTTTCCCAGAAAAAACTGATGTAATTTGAACGAAGGAACTGCAACTTTATCACCACTTTCTAACAAAGGAAAATCTCACAGGACTGAAGCCAAGGTCAACAGATTCTTCTTGCTAACAGGATGCTTTTTCACACTTGGGATTGTTAAAAATATCTAAATTTCATTCTAAGGCATGAATTAAAAAAAATCTGGGCATTCCTAACATTAGTGTGCATTATGCAATAGATAGTACATTACAATTACTGTGGGCAAATGACATTAACTGCCATGGTCTATGCATTTGTAAATTTGGACATTTTCTTCAGGTTGTCATTATTACAATGGAATTTGCTTCATTGTTTCTACTGTATATATTTAGTTTAGTCGTTCTTTAAAATATCTTCCAAAATTCTTGTTCTGTGAGTTGGCATTAAAAAAAACTTACTATGTTCACAGGAATACACTTAAAGAAAATGATGTTTTGTAAATTTTATACTAAGCAAACAAATTCCTTTTTATTAGAGGAATGACCGTTATTCTATATATATATTTTTTTTTGCAAAGCAACAATCAAATGCTTTGCAACAATGTTTTTCCAAATTTAGCTCACTTAAGCATCACCTGGGAACTTCCTTAAAATGCAGACTCTGATTCACTAAGTCTGGATTGGGTCCTGAGATTATAAATTTCTCACAAGCTTCCAAATGTTGTCCATGCTGTCAGCCCATGGAACACAATGTAAGTGCTAAGACTACTCAAAGAAGACTTATATAAGTACAAGAAGTTATGTTACATTTTGTATATGTAGAAGGATTACCTGTCACATCTTATTCCACATTTTTATAACACCGTAACCATTTATTATATATTCATGATAAATTATAATAAGTATAACATTTTTTTCTTTTCTAGATATGCATAAAAGTGAGTGATGCATTGGAAAAGATTTCAAAATAAATCTAAAAGACTCTCAAGTAATTATTTTAAAAATCTGTGGTAAATTGATAATTGACAGTGTTGTTTTTCTAAGTGGTATATAAAATAATTATGTGTCTTAAAAATCAATGCATTTTCCATATATAAAATAGGAAGCATAATTCTACAAAGAAGATAGAAACTGAGCACATCAAATGTGATCTTTGTTGAATGATGCTGGGCAGCTTTCAGCATGGTTTTAGCTGCCCTAAACCATCCTTACCTACATGACATCTGTGTTGTGTTGATGTCTACTTTCCCTTGTACTATTATTTAGGTTACTAAATAGGTGGGGTGGAGGTGGGGGGCATTCTAGTTATCCTCTGTACTTCTGGAAAGTTCAGAGCAGGCCAGGTTAGGAGCAAATAAGACCCTCCCTCTCTTCTGCTTTTCTTTCTTCTCCTCCTTCTTCTCCCCCTCTTTATCCTCCTCCTTCTTTAATATAGGTAAAGAGCCTAAATCTTATATTATAGCTCATTCAATTTTTATACACTTATGTAACTTGATAAATTACCACCCAGACCAAGAGATAAACATTTTCAGAGACATCTTTAGGGGCAAATTCAATTTCCTTCATTTTCAGACTTTTTTTTTTCTATTTAGCTAGGCCCTTTAGGTAGGTGTGGGAAAGACAAGTAGATATTTCAGAGGACAGTTCAAAATTCATTTTAGCTCATGGCCAGAGTCCACCTATCCCAACTTCTTGTCCAAAATCTTCCATTTACCATTTATTTATAATAAGCATGCTTTCTGAGGACCATCCTTCTATCTCTTTTCACCTATCTTGAGGAGTTCCTTCAGCATCTCAGATTCCTTTATAGAGGACTATAATTATTTCTACCCTACTCCCATTATCATCTCCAACAAAAGTGCCAAAATTTTCTAATTTTCTTTGTCCTCCTTATCTTTTGATTCAATATTTTTTCTCTCTCAATCCTTCTGTGTTAGTTCATTTAGTTTCAAGCAAAAGAAACTGACTCTGGCTGGTTTGAACACTTAAACAAATAAATGAAAAGAGGAATGCAGTGGGAAGATTCCAGGGTACATAAGAAAATCAAAGTAAAATTTGATTGGGCAGGGCAGAAATCAGGGAAGCTTAAGAGCCCCAGCAGTAGAGTTTGTGAAACTTGCTCATAGCATAACTCAAACCCACACTTTTTAAAATTTTCCATGCCACCTGTGGAATTTGTGGGAGATAGTCTTGGGTCTACCCTTGGATCTAATGGTTTCTGGGGACAAAAAGTTTGGGTCTGGAGGTGCAAACATAGAAAGCTTCTAGTGATTCCTAGTTGTGGGGAGAAATCAAGCACTGTAGCAGCCACTGATGTGCTTGACACAACTTGCCTCCTCTACGTAAAAACACATTTTCCCCAAGGGAGAAGAGTTGAGCAGAAATGAGTTAATTAAGAAATGTTATCCAAAAAAGTTTGTATGAAAACTGTCTCCATCCCCTCAAACAGGTTAAGATTTACTCTGTTCAGAGTTTCTAAGGAATTCAAACTGCAATTCCATTCAATTATTGATAAATAATATTTTAGTGCTTGATACAATATTTGGGATGAGAATGCACTGAGGCAGTTAAAACGTTGTCAGGAAAATGACCAGGATTTCAGAGTTTACCCAAACAGACTACACTACCAGAAAGTTTAAAATAGGCAAACAGCAAACAGTACAATCCTTACAGCTTAGGAGTTAGAAAGCACTTCCAGTAAAGCAAAGGGTCAAATGGTGTTGACTTAAAATAGAGCAGGAACAATTTTGGCAGTCATTTTAAGAGTGATGAGGTGGTGGGGAGAAAAAGCAGATAGGAAATTCTATTTAAAGTAATACCAGTGCCCTCTACCCAATACAGGAAATCATCTCCCAGACTAGAATAAATATAAAAGGCTGATATCCTTGCAGAGGTCTGACAGGGCCAGCAGAGCCATTGTTATATTACTGCCAAGCCTCAGTCACTCAAAAAGGAAATTCCTATAGCACATAAGAAGGTCAAGACTGGGGGTACATCTGGGAGAATCCTTGCTCTTTGGTTTTGAAAGGAACTGCAGGAAAAGAAAAAAAATACAGGCAAAACAAAAAACCACCGATTAATTGAAGGTGCAAAATTCTCTAATAAAAATGTTAACATAAAATTAGCCAAGGTAAAGGCTTTCACTGCAAGAATGATCAAAACTTTAGTGTGCTTTCTCAATGCATGCTCCTGAAATGCACATATATGCAGCAATATTTAAAGAGGAAGCCAGCTAAAGAAAGTGCTAGTTTTTCTACATTTCCTACCCTCCTCTACCATTTACACACAATTACCATTATTTGTCTCTCAAGCCTACTCACTCCAAGTTTTTTTTTACATACCTGCTATAATCCCTTGCTCTTAATAGAAGAAAGAAGTAGAATAAAAGTTTTAGGGAGACTGTGAGTTTTATAGTAACTTTTGTATTAGGTGGCATATATCTTAAGATCCACAAAAATTGAAAGCTAACATAGGCTCCTAGCAAGTTATTTTCAAGGGAATTCTTTTGAAAGGTACTAGAATCAAGTTTGGTAAACATACATGTGCCCCTAATATCACCAAATAAACCTTAGAACATGTCACTCTCAGGTTAAAAGCATGAACATTCAGTATCACATGAGACCTTAATTCTAACTTGTATAATTCTAATGACCCCAGAATGTGACCCAATACATAATTCACTTTTAGCGAGTGAACAGTCCAGATTTTCTTGTAGTTATAAAGCAACAGAATATAAGAAATTTACAAGCTTTCTCCTGATATTTTATGTTTTCTGATTTCCACTCTGGAATTGGTGGGATAAACTGTGCTTTTCATTTTCCAGGTAGTTTATAGCTTTAATCCTGGTTGGCAGGCTATTGTTTCAAGATATGTAACCATTTAATTAAATCTGAGTGTTTCATATACAAACGTGCTACATATTCAGATTTAATAGGTGGTTATACACTGTCAATTCTAAGTGAGAATATTTTTAATAATTCACCCTATTTCCACATTAGTCAAGTGAAACATTTTCAGACCTGTCAGCATTATGTTCATAATACTTGGTCAGCTCAGTGACAAATATAGTCATGTTATTTGTAGACAATTATCAGCTGCATGATTGGCTAAATTGAGCCCAAAATTGGATGCACAAAATTTATTATTTAGAAAAGATATCAAATCCAATCCAATTCCGACTTTTCTAAAAAGATGAGTATGGGCTGGGCGCGGTGGCTCATGCCTGTAATCCCAGCACTTTGGGAGGCCGAGGTGGGTGAAGCACCTGAGGTCAGGAGTTTGAGACCAGCCTGGCCAACATGGTGAAACCCCATCTCTACTAAAAGTACAAAAATTAGCCGGGCACGGTGGTTCATGCCTCTAATCCCAGCTACTTGGGAGGCTGAGGCAGGAGAATCGCTTGAACCCGGTGAGGCAGAGGTTTCAGTGAGCCGAGATTGCGCTAGTCCACTCCAGCCTGGGCCAAAGAGTGAAACTACGTCTCAAAAGAAAAAAAAATATGAATATGGAGGGATACTTAACAGCCTAAGTTTCCTAAAGGTTCTTCCAAAACTCTTGATGGAACATGTATTACTAAGTCAGTGTAAATGAATAAGAAGATGCACCCCAATAGTTAAATTGTATCACATGTATTTACACTTTAGCTTTTCTTAATTTATAGATTCTTGTCAACTTCTATGTTCGCTATTATTTAAATATTTAAGGTACTTTCATGATGAAAGGGCAGATGTATTTAATAGTAGAGGAGCGGCCGGGCGCGGTGGCTCACGCCTGTAATCCCAGCACTTTGGGAGGCCGAGGCGGGTGGATCATGAGGTCAGGAGATCGAGACCATCCTGGCTAACAAGGTGAAACCCCGTCTCTACTAAAAATACAAAAAATTAGCCGGGCGCGGTGGCGGGAGCCTGTAGTCCCAGCTACTCGGGAGGCTGAGGCAGGAGAATGGCGTGAACCCGGGAAGCGGAGCTTGCAGTGAGCCGAGATTGCGCCACTGCAGTCCGCAGTCCGGCCTGGGCGATAGAGCAAGACTCCGTCTCAAAAAAAAAAAAAAAAAAAAAATAGAGGAGCTGAGGAACACTGACCAACATTTGAAGATTTGAAGTATCACTGGAAACAACTGAACCCAAAATATTTGGCCACTGTGTTTAATGAAAAATGGTATATATATGTATATATATATATAAAGTTTTTATATATTTTATATATATAGTTTTTATATATTATATATATATAGTGTGTGTGTGTATATATATTTAGACAAATAATCTGCATAAACATAGGGATATAGTATATATAAATTTAATATATTTTCATATATTTCCAACACATGAAGTTTCCTCTACAATGTATCAGAAGCTTTTTTCAAGGTATAACCCTTCAATATTGATTGGCCTGATAAAGATGATAAAGGACAAGAATGTAAGAATTGAGGAATTCTGGTTTTAGGAGGCTGGGAGCTAGGTTATTTTTTCTTTAGAGTATTAAGTACCAAGAAATTCTTAACCATAAAAAATATCATAGTTATGGCAAGTGCATGCTTGTAATCAAATTGTCCAACTTAATTATAATTATATTTTGAGCAAATTTCTAAAATATGCTCTACAAGAATTATTGCATTGAAACTCAGTGCCTCGGCAGTGACAGGCACATAAAAGAGCCTTTATCCTTACTTACTGCTATTTAAAATATAATAATTATCCCCATGAAAGAAAATGGGTTATTGGGTCAGGCTAACTGACATTTAAATCCAGATTCTGTCACCTTGCATGAACTTGGAAATGCTCTGTAACTTTTCTGATCCCCAGTTTCCTCTTTTGTAAAACAAGATTAATAAATACCTTACATTGTTGTTGTGTGGTGCAAATGAGATCACACTTAGCTCAAAACACAGTGCCGAGCATATTGCAAGTGCTGAATTATTATGTTTTTATTGGAAGGAAATTGAATTACAAAGGGCATTAGGCTACTCATATGACTTTAGAAGTTGTCTTTCAAAAATAAAATGTTCTTGTTTCAAATAATAAGTTCTTCCCTCCTGCTAGTTCTATTATTATAGTTGAACAAATATATTGTGGCCTTTGGAAAACCATAAATGTAACCAAGAGCAGCTCTTTCGACTGGAGGTTAATACATCACGTTATAAACTAGCTAGAATTTGTTTAAAGGTAAAAGAGTCCCTTTGAAGTGCCAAGAAATTGAGAGAAGAAGAATGGGAAAATGGGAACAGAAGACAACTTTGGCTCTTAAGTTGAGACAAATGCAGCACATGAGATGTTTATAGAAATCCAAAACTGATTGCTCCAGACCTTCTTTGAGCATATTGGATTAAGTTTCTGTTTCTCTTAAACACAAGGTTATGGGTTTTAACTTTTATATTGCTTAGAAAAATAGCAATGACTGCTTTATATTTTCATTTGCTTCATGGTATACAGTGTACTTACGTATAGACATAAATATGGACATAGACGGACAGTGACATAGAGATACAATTTGACTTTTGTAATATCTTTTGAAGTAAGTGTGGTTACAAGTATAATACCATTATACATGTGAAAAAAATGAAAACTAAGACATTAATTGATTTATTCTGGTTTATATTGAACATCTGATTGGTTCATATTGACCATTTCAATATCACTATTCAGTTTATAACCCAAATAGTCTTATAATTAAAAATATAACATTATGATTGCTTTTTATTTCTCCTACTGCACAGCAGAGTAATACTTTGTATCATAGCAGTATTAATATATATACTAATATGTGTAATTAAATGCTAAGTATATATTAAATATGAATTTTATTTTAGCAAAGCAGGAGTGGTGTGATAACTCTCCTAACGCAGTCTAAAGTAATATATATATATATATATATATATATATATATATATATATATATATATGCCGTCAACTATCTATAATATTAATATAGGGACAATGAATAAGGAAAAATACACATATGGAGACACACAGACACACACAAAGAAGCACAGGAAAGTGGAAGAATGCTTTGTGAGTTCTGTGAAAGACAACCTCTGAGAAATTCCAGAAAGATCTGTGGGTGTGCAGACTTTGAAGAGGGCTGTGGTTTTGCATTAAGAGACTGGCACAATATAAAAACAAAGGTTTAAATCCTAAGGGAAAAAAAAAGTCTGAATATATTTAAAAAATACCTTGCTGTGCAAAGGTGTTTATGACAGCATTTACAATTACAAACCATTTGAAAGCAACCCAAATATCTAAATATCGAGTAGTAGTAAAATAGCCTACAGAATGTTACATAGCTATGCAAATGATGTTTATGAGGAGTATGTAAACACAAAACATCGTACTGATATAAGGCAAAAAAAAAGTAAAGGAGATAAAAGCGGATGCAGAATATGATAGTGCATGTTTCTGAAAAAAAAGTGTGTACCTATGTACAAAAAATACTGTAAAGAAAAGAAGCAAAGTGTTAGCATAAGCAGTATGTGGATGCTGGGTCTGAGGAATAATCTTTTTTCCTACATTTCTTTATATCCTGATCTTTTTATAATGGAAAAATAGGCCTTCTTCTCTTTTAAGGTACCTAACACTCTACCTTTTACGTGTGAAACCAATCGTGGCCTTGTATCAGCTCGAAAAGCAGAAATACATTAGGTATTTCTAATGTAAAATGTAATGTAAAGATGGAAAATTATATAACAAATTAGTCACAGTTTGAGTGTCAGAGGCTGGAACCCATTAGTTCTTCTGGGTGAATGGTCATTGTTGAATAGATCCTGATAGAAACAGTAAGTCAACAGAAAAGAAGTCTTTTCTTCCACCCTCCTGCCTCCTAAACTTTCCCTGTTGCCCCCTGCAGATAGAATCTAGAAAGCAACTGGAAAATGAGAAATAGTTTACATAGTCACAGCCAGAGGATCATGAAGCCAGAAATGAAAGGGTACATTTGAAAATAGAAGATAATAACTTAATAGAAACCTCAGGCTTATTCTTAATAAATAATAAGAATAATGCATAATACATACTAATCAATACTAAAAGTCTCAGAATAACAGTATTGAGATGCAGAAACCTTTATTAATGACTTCTGTTAATTTGATTACCAAAGCCAAAATGCTTCTTAATGGGATGAATTGAGTACAAATAAGTGAAGTTAAACTTTTAACATGTATCATTTGTTTTTATTAAGGTGATTCAGCCATCACAATTCTACTCCAATAGATATTTTATTAAAGTAACTAATTTAAATGTACATGATAAATGAACTGTGTTGAAAATTCTATTCTTCTTCAGTTTGAACCTCCTGATCTTAATTAACTTCTCCACTCTGTTCCCATAGAAACCAGCAATGCAATCAATAAGATGCAAAGGTCGTAAGGAACATGCAGAAGCATTCTACAAGTACGGTAACAATATTTATTTTAAATCATGGAACAAATTAGTATTTGCAATTAGGTTAGAGGTAATATACCTCAAAATTCGAAATGGAAATGCAGTCAAATGGTAAACAGAGATGATAAACTTTCCATCATCTCCTCTATTGTCTTTTTTCCAATGCAAGATAAGTATAATGCCAGAAAACTGAAGATTATATTTTTCTCTGGGGATTATTTTTGTTTCTCAAAATTTTTTATTGTATCATGATATAATAAAACATAATACCTAATCCCTCATCCTGTATGTATTTTCTCACAAATAAATAAAAAGAAAAATAAGTCAACAAAACATATAAAAATGTACAACATAAAAGCTCCTTTGAATGAAGGACTGACACTATGTTTTTTTTTTTACTCCAGATCCACAAGCTGATGTCTACACACAAAGTTACACATTTTTAAAAATTTTATTTTAGATTCAGAGGCTACATGCACTTGTTTGTTACATGGGTATATTGTGTAATGGTGAGGACTGAACTTCTAGTGTACCCATCACCCAAATAGTAAGCATTGTGCCCAATAGGTAATTTTTCAACTCTCACCCCTCTCCACCTCTCCCTGCTTTTGGAGTCCCCAGTGTCTATTATTTCTATCTTTATGTCCATACGTACCCAATGTTTCATTCCCGCGTATAAGTGAAAACACGTAGTACTTGATTTTCTGTTTCTGCATTAGTTCACTTAGGATAATGGCCTCCAACTGTATCCATGTTGCTGCAAAGAGGCTGATTTCATTCTTTTTTATGGTAGCATAGGATTCCATGGTGTGTGTGTGTGTGTGTGTGTGTGTGTGTGTGTACATGGTGTATATAGATATATAGATACATTTCACCTTTTCTTTATTCAATCAATCATTGATGGACACAGGTTGGTTTCCTGACTTTGCTATTGTGAATAGTGCTGCAATAAACATAGCATGCAGGTGTCTTTTTTATAAAAAGATTTTTTTTTCCTTTGGGTAGATTTCTAGAAGTGAGATTGTGAGGTCGAATGGGAGTTCTATTTTTAGTTCCTTGAGATATCTCCATACTGATTTCCATACAGGTTGAACTAATTTACATTCTCACCAGCAGTGTATATGATTTCCTTTTCTACAATCCACACCAACATCTGTTGGTTTTTGGCTTTTTAATGTTAGCCATTCTGACTGATGTAAGACAATATCTCAATGTGGTTTTAATTTGCATTTCCCTGATGATTACTGATGTTGAGCATTTTTCAAGATCAAAAGAGTAGAATAAAGAGCCCAGAAATAAAGCTACATACTTAGAACCAACTGATCTTTGCAAAGTCGACAAAAATAAGGAATGAGGAAAGGACACCCTCTTCAATAAAGGGTTCTGGGAAAATTGACTACCCATATGAAGAAAAATGAAACTGTATTCCTATCTCTCACCATGTACAGAAATGAACTCAAAGTTAATTAAAGACTTAAATGTGAAATCTCAAACTATAGAAATCCAAGAAGAAAACCTAGGAAAAACTTTTCTGGACATAGGATTAAGCGAAGAGTTTATGATAAATATCCCAAAAGTAAATACAACAAAAGCAAAAAAAAAAAAAAAAAAAAAAAAAACTTAAACTAAAAAGCTTCTGCAAAGAAAAATAAATAATCAAGAGACAACCTACTGAATGGGAGAAAATATTTGCAAGTTATGCCTCTAACAAAGGACTAATAACTAGAATCTACAAGGGACTCAATCAACTCAACAACAACAACAGCAAAAACCAAACAACCCCATTAAAAACTGACAAAGGGCGTGAACAGAAATTTCCTTTCTCTCAAAAGAAATACAGGCGGCAAAAACACATGCAAAGTTACACATTTGAAACAGAGGCCAAGGCAAACCTCTCCTGAGAGTTGCCCTTAACTGATTAAACCAATAAACTATTACACTCAGCATTCGATCTACTAGTTAGACTGCAGATCAAATGATAAGTACAATAATTAACAGGATCATGACTGTTCTAGTTTGAGTGCTCCGGTAACATATTCTAATTCAGCTGTTCTGTGTCTGGGTCTAATGACATTGCCATGCCCCCGTCACTTCTCAGAATTGTTGCACGTAGCTTATTACCAATACCAGTTAACAAAGCAAACAAAACCAAACACTGTCTATGTTTTGTTTAAAACGCTTAAGAGTAGAGTGGGTTCAGAGTTATCACTAAATACTTTTTCTATCCACCTCTTATATTTCTTTGTGATTTTATGCATGCAGAGGAGTGAAATAACAGCTACTGGTTCAGGAATTTTGATTATTAGAATTTTATTTCTCCTGCGCATTATGGAGAAGAAATGGTGAAAGCAACTGTGATAATGTATGCTTACCCCTTCCCTTTCTTCATCTTTTCTATCTTGCTCCACCATGCTGAAAAAAGTAGCTAATCCTCTTTTCCAATGCAACAATAAAATGCTAAAACAGCCATCAAATGTACACCACTGGTTTCTCATTTTTTCAAATATATATGACAATATTTAATTGATTTACTGCATAGGTGGTTATTTCAAGATATTTTCAAATTTTGAATATAAATTTTATATTTAGGATATATATGTATGGAGAGAGAGGGAATTATAAAATAAATAATTAGGTTCAACAGTTGAGACTTCTAATGTATTTTGGTGTGCACTAGGAATAAATCATGGCGTTTACATTATTTTTTTTACATGATCTTTTGCCTGTCTCTTACTGGGCTAGAATATTCAGGGAATTTCAGAGCTACACAGATCTGGCACATTATCTAAGATATTATGTTGTTATTTTTCTTGTTCTTTTTTTTTTTTGACAGATATAAAGGACAGCTAGTGTTCACTTCCATGTGAATACTAATGAACTTTGACATATGCAGGGTTCATAGTTACTCAACTCTCTCAACTCCAATCATATTCCATGCCATTTTTCTTCAGCTATCTTAAAGCACACTACTTTGAACTTCTTTATTATCTAAAGCTGCATCATGAAGGCTTTTAAGCTTGGAATTCCTTTTCTTACCACAAATCCTTGTTGTACACTATATTACTGCTTACCATTTCTTAGTTCCCTTCATCTGTAGGAGATTAATGCTTCTTTGCTCTGTTAAACTCAGCAAGAACACACGATATGCACTGGTTGATGAAATATGAGTTAAAATGACATATGCCACTTCTGGACAAAAGCTTTAAGAACTAGTGAGTATCTTGCAACTTTTCTTTTGCTACAATTAAAAGTAATGTTCCAAATTGTGGCTCTTTCATTAGCTTGGGTTCCAGAGTGCCAGTCGTGACAATGTGGAACGTATCATGCACCTAACCTGTAATAAGCTGTGAGCATGAAATAAATCAGTGGACAGTAAACTAAAACCCTATTTGTTTTTGTAAGTAAAGTTTTATTGAAACACAGCCACGCTCCTTTGCTTATGTATTCACTTGCTGGCTGCATTCACACTGTGATGAGTAGTTGCAACAGACGTCAAGTGACTCACAAAGCTTAAAATATTTACCTACTAGCCTTTTGCAGAAGAAGTTTCTGACTCTGCTGTAAGTCACTGAGATTTCAGAGACATTTGCTACTACAGCTTAACCTAGACCATCCTTTCATTTAGTACACTCTTAACTTTGTATTTAGTCATAGTCTAAGTAATGGGCATAAATCTCAATATTAATACTTTTTCAGGATTATATGTTGTAGATGACCTTGCAGTGGAGACTGACTTCCTGCTAAAGGAGCAAACAAGTGAGCAAGCTGCAGAGTCCAAGAGGCAAATGCAGCTCAGTCTCAACTCAGGCACAATCAACATGAGTTCTGGTGATATCCCAATGTGAGGCCATCCAGAGGGTGGCCAAGATTAAAGAGACAGGAGGATGGGCACTTGTCATGTATGGGATCAGTACAGGATTCCACTGCCAGTCTAATAACTGGGACAAGGTTCTGGTCTGAAGAGAGGCATATCCAGAGCAAGATAGCGGATCTTGCAATATGTGGCAGCATTCTGAGCACATTCCAGCACTTCAGGGACTATCTGTTTAGAAATAAGAGACAGGGCATAAAACAGACAACCAGTTCTAAAGATTGAACCCATGAGGTGTGGCAGTGGGAGACAAGCATTTGCAAACAAACGTGGAGTAATGGGAGCAAGCCCCCCAAAATCTGGCCATAAACTGGCCCCAAAACTGGCCATAAATAAAATCTCTGCAGCACTGTAACATGTCCATAATGGCCCTAATGCCCAAGCTGAAAAGTTGTGGGTTTACTGCAATGAGGGCAAGGAACACCTGGCCCACCCAGGGCGGAAAACCGCTTAAAGGCATTCTTAAGCCACAAACAAAAGCATGAGCGATTTATGCCTTAAGGGCATGTTCCTGCTGCAGTTAACTAGCCCAACCTATTCCTTTAATTCGGCTCATCCCTTCCGTTTCCCATAAGGGATACTTTCAGTGAATTTAATAGCTATAGAAACAATGCTAATGACTGGTTTGCTGTTAATAAATATGTGGGTAAATCTCTGTTCGGGGCTCTCAGCTCTGAAGGCTGTGAGACCCCTGATTTCCCACTTTACACCTCTATATTTCTGTGTGTGTGTCTTTAATTCCTCTAGCGCTGCTGGGTTAGGGTCTCCGCAACCCAGCTGGTCTTGGCAGAGAAAGATAAGGAAAAAACTGGAAAGCAAACAGGTAACTATAACTAATTCTGTCAACATTGGCTTCTGATTGGCAAAGAGAAAAAAACACAAGGGGGCCAGGGCCAGATTGTGTCTAGTGGCTCAGAATGGACAATTTAATTCTCAGCAACTCTGGATCGGGGAGAAGGTACTTTGGGGCTTTTGGCCCATGAATACTTTAGCCAAGGTTGGTGCATAAAAGTGAGTAGGATTGAGAATGGGAGGTACAACAGACTACGCTGTAACAATTTGGTGGTAGGTGGAGTAAAATATCTTCCCAGTCTGTTATGCTAAACTGTATCTTTGCCTTTATTATCATCTTCACTCATTTCATCTTTCCACATTTTCACTGACTGTCCATCCCTTTTCTGGTTTATTTCTTAAACAACTTAAATTCTACGGTCAGTCATTTTATGTATGCATATTTCATTTGGTGTGAGCTCAGACTGTCTTTAGCCTTCTACTCACAAATCCTTTTCTAACCACAAACTGGCTTAGATTCCTAAGTTTTTCCTTCCAGGCTTTTTAGCCTTGCTTGAGAAACTCACTAAACAGTGGTGATTAGTTCCAGCACAAAAGCATTCTCCCTAACTTGGCAGGATATAAAATGCAACTCAGCAATTCTTTTAGTCTTCTCTAATTGACTCCCAATTATAATTCCCACATTATAATTGTAACAGCTGTTTGAAACTATCTTCAAGCCCCAATTACAAGCCATTCATTCATTCAATAAATAATATTTTTAGCATTTACTATACACCAGGTGCTCTGCTAGCTGTTAGGAAATAAATAGTGAATGACACAGACATGGACCCTGACTTCATGGAGTTAATGAATAGGACAGACCAAAAATCAAGCAACTAAGATACATTGTGATTATGGCAGTAATAGCATACAAGTATGTGGTAGACCTTCATTACATTTCATCTCATCTCAAGCATTGATTTTTCAAGTTAAGCTAGAAAAGTGCTTTCCTTGCCTCCCAGCAGTCCAGAGTTTATGCCTGTGCAAGGTTCACCAGGCAGATCTACCAACATATCAATTCAGAAGAGACTAGTTTGAGGCAGGGTGTGGTGGCTCACACCTGTAATCCCAACATTTTGGGAGGCCGAGATGGGTGGGTCACGAGCTCAGGAGGTGAAGACCATCTGGCTAACATGGTGAAACCCCGTCTCTACTAAAAATACAAAAACAAACAAAAAAAAGAAAAATTAGCTAGGTGTGGTGGCGGGCGCCCGTAGTCCCAGGGACTCGGGAGGCTGAGGCAGGAGAACCACTTGCAACCGGGAGGAGGAGGTTGCAGTGAGCTGAGATCATGCCACTGTACTCCAGCCTGGCAACAGCAGAGCAAGACTCTGTCTAAAAAAAAAAAAAAAAAAAAAAAAAAGCTGAATGGAATTTAACCAGGCAAGGGTGGGAAAGAAGCAGCCAGCATTGGAATTGCTTGAACCCTGGAGGCGGAAGCTGCAATGGGCTGAGATTGCACCATTCCACTCCAGCCTGAGTGACAGAGCAAGACTCCGTCTCGGGGAGGGAAAAAACAACAACAACAAAAAACAGTGACAGAAAACTGAAGGGCTAGCATGGCATCTTGTAGTGTCCAGGGCTGGTGATCTTTGCTGTGACTAGCAATAGCAGAGACAGAGTCTCTGCAAGAGCAGTTGGGTGGTAAATTCAGAAATTTATTTTCCTCCTGTTGATATAGTCTCTAAGCCTGATTAGCCTTCTGTCCTAATATATTGTCTGTTGTTGTTTAATTATTTTTAATAAAGTTATTTCTGCTTAAACTATCTTATGTGTTTATCTGCATTTTAGGTGGGATAGTGAAATAATTGAATACGTCCTTTAGGAAGGTCACTTTGGCTTCAGTAGGAAAAATACATTGGAGTGGGACAAGATCCAGGGCAGGGTCATTGCAGTGGGTTGAGTCAGAATTGCCGGGGGCCTGAGCAAGGTGGAAGCAAGGGTGCAATCAATGAAATTAACTCATTCATAACTTAATGTACAGTAATGCCTAAAGTTATCCATGTGCACTCTCCTGCATTTTATCCTTTCTACATCAAGATTTATTCATTTGTTTTCAGGTATTTATTTATTTTTAATGTGCTAGAGATGATTCCAGGTGCCTGGAGAATAATCAGTAAATGAGTAAGATGACGAAGCTGTTCTCATGGAGAATGGAGGAGGCAAACAATAAATAAATACTGAGAAAGATGATTCAAAGTGTGTCTTGTGCCCTATAAAAGTTAAAACAGAAGGTCACGCGTGGTGGCTCACGCCTGTAATCCCAGCACATTGGGAGGCTGAGGCGTGCGGATCACGAGGTCAGGAGTTCGAGACCAGCCTGACCAACATGGTGAAACCCCATCTCCACTAAAATACAAAAAAAATTAGCCGGGCGTGGTGGCGCATGCCTGTAATCCCAGCTACGCAGGAGGCTGAGGCAGGAGAATCGCTTGAACCCGGGAGGCTGAGGTTGCAGTGAGCTGAGATCGTGCCACTGCACTCCAGCCTAGGCGACAGAGCGAGACAATGTCTAAAAAAAAGAAAAACAGACACACACACACAGAAAAATAAGATGTGATGAAGAGTGACCCAGGTGGAGACTCCCTCACATGAGAAGGTTGGAGGAAGCTTTTCCAAGAGTGTTACATTTGAACTGAGATCTAAATTGTGGGAAATTGCTGGCCATTAGGAAGTTCTGGAAGTGATCATTGGAGGTAGAGGAAAAAGCTAGGGAAAATGAAAATTGGGACAGAGTTTGTGTGTTTGAAGAACTGAAAGAAAGCTAGCAAGGCTGGAGCAGGGAGAGAGTGGAGGACAAAGATAGAGTGTGGATGGAGAGACAAGGCAAGTTGTAAAGGGTCTTGATAGGCCATTAAAGAATTTGGATTTATTCTAAGCAAAATATTGCTGTATTTTCATCCTACTAAATTTTAGAAATGATTCTATTTTACCTTCAGTGTCTCCCTATTAAATAAGTAGTTATTTATTCAACGAGTATTTATTGAACATCTACTTATTATGTGTCAGATACTGTGTTCTATTATTTAAAACGTTCTTGCCTCTTATTTTGCAATTCCTTTGATGTGAACTTCCATCTCATACCTTCTCCAATGCTGGCTCTTTTTACCATTACCTCACCGCTTTACATAAACTACTCCATGAATGTTTATCAGTGAAAACTTACTTGCCAAATCCTGGGACTTCCCAGTATCATTCCAATGACTCTTCTATATCATTTGACTCTATTGATTATTTTTATTTTTATTTTTTTGAGACAAATTTTCACTCTTATTGCCCAGGCTGGAGTGCAATGGCACGATCTCAGCTCACTGCAACCTCCACCCTCTCTGGGTTCAAGTGATTCTCCTGCCTCACTCTTCCTAGTAGCTCGGACTACAGGCATCTGCCACCACACCTGGCTGATTTTTGTATTTTTAGTAGAGACAGGGTTTCACCACATTGGCCAGGCTGGTCTCGAACTCCTGACCCCAGGTGATCCACCCACCTCGGTCTCCCAAAGTGCTGGGATTACAGGCGTCAGCCACCGCGCCTGACCTCTATTGATTGTTTTATGCTGAAAGCCTCCTCTCTTAGGTTCTACAGCCATGGATACTCTCCATTTGCTTCCCCTCTGACTGTATGTTACCAATCTCATGCTCTGCCCTATTTTCTCCAATATGTTCCAGCAATATGGGCTTTTCTGAATTTTCAGTTATTGGTCTGTGTCTAGATTGTTCTTGAACACTCTAGATTGTCTAGATTTTTTCTTGAAAAATTTCAGTTCAATCTATAGACTTGAGCTACCACTTCAGAAAAGGATTTGCTGTTTATTTTTGTTGGATTATCCCATCAGATCTTTCATTCAAATCCTTTGGGTAAAGCATTATCTTTCTTACCCCTTGCCTTGTAATCCTCCTTTAATCCCTAATCTCATTTTGTTCTTACTACAACTCCCTTTTTTGGAACTTTACTTTCTTTTGTCTAAACTACTGCCATGGCTCTCTATTTCATCTCCCTTTCCTCCAACATTTTTCTGCATGCTGTTGGAAAAATTAAATTTTCTAAAAATAGCTACTATTCAGTCAGTTTTTACTGATAAATAGTGTCCCAATGTGACATTTAAAGTCATCCATAATCCCATTACACCTTGCTGTCCTAATTTTATCTCCACTGCTGTTCTTTAGACATCCTGTGCTCCTTTCAATCTCAATTTTTCATTATTCTTAAAGTCATACTTTCCTTCAACCAATACTATTTAATACTGAGATACTTTTTCTCATTTTCCTCTCATTTCTTTCTATCAAAAATCTTACTGATTTTCTAAGGCATGTTTTAAACAGTTCTGCCTTTGAAAAATAGTTTAAACAACAAATAATGCCCATTCCCTTACAATGAAAACCAAGAATTCATTTAGTGAATAAACATAGCGACTACAGATGCCATGAGGCCAAGTGTACATGGTGAACAGGAGGAAATGCATGAAGACAAGGGAGGCTGGAATGCAGCAAGTGAGGAAGAGAATGAAGGAGGTAGTGCAGGAAAAGTAATGAAGGACCAAATCACTGAGGGCCTTGTAAACTATGGTAAGAAGTTGTGCTGGGGCCCACTGGAGAATTTTGAGCAGAGGAGTGACATGAGCTGACTTAGGTCCTAAAGGATCATTCTAGCTGCTGTGTATACTATCTAGTGAGGGGCCAAGAGTGGAAGGTTATCACAGTTATCTAGGAAAGAGATAGTGATGAACTAACTCCATGGTGGAATCAATGTCCTTCACACAAAGCATCTATTAAACCTTGTATTTTTGGGTATTTGTCTATGAAGATATCACCCAATCTTAATTAAGCAGGGGTGATAGCTGGTCCACTTTTGTATCTTCCAGAGTGCCCAGAACTGGGTTGTACACACAGGTGGATGGGCTAAGCTGAATTTATCACCTATCTTTAGCTGTATTTCACATTCTTAGAAACCTTTATTTCAACTTTATTTGGCTACTTTTCTTTTATAGGCTACATAATGGCACTTCCTTCAAACTTTCCCCCTGGGTCTTAATTTACTATCTCTTAGCTGTACTTGTGCCTCTTATCTGAACTGTAGTAGTCTTTCTTTTAAATTATTAAGTAAAAATCTTCAGTAATTATGTAAAAAGCCTTAGGTACACACATGTAAAATTCTTTATAAACAAACTCTCTGAGTCTTTGTATTGTTTTGGGAAAGATTTTACTGAAATGAATATTCTATTAATTATATTTTTAGACCCCAGAAATTGAGGTGGAATGGCTTGCAGCTCAAACAATTAAGCATTAGCCATTGAAAAGGAGTGCTTAAAATCTAATATGGGCGTTTCTTTACAAAATATAGAAGATATTGGGAGATTGCTTTGTTCTGGTGTGGAGGATTTGGAAGTAAAGAGAAGCAGCCATGGTAATAGTGAGCCATGGAAACCCTAACTATACCAACTCTTCTTCATTTTTCTATTTACGAGGCAATGACTACAACGAACTTAAGAATTAGGCTAAAATTCATTGTAAGGAAATCATAAGGCAGTGTGGTTATACATCACCTACCCTTCTCTATTTGAGACCCACTTTAGAATTCATATCCAGAGGGAGGGCTTTGGAGAAAGTAATCTAGCCCATGCATAAAATGTAACTTGAATTCTGACAGGGAGCCAATGGTGGGCCTAGTAGGTGCATTATCAGCTGCGCGTGATCTGAGATCACTTATTTTAGTTTCTCTAAGTTTCTTTTTATTTTGGGAGGGGTAAATAATAATAGGCCTACAATATAGGATTGTGAGGAGGATTAAAAGGGATGATATAAAGTGCTTAGTTTGGTGTCTGGATAATATAGAGCACAACAAATATTAACTCTCGCTTCTGCATGGGTTTTTCTTATCTGTCCTGTGGGTTATTCTTTATTACCCTACTCAGGTCTATTTCAGCCTTAAAATTTTTTTCTTTAATTTTTTTGTTGGCTTTTATAAAAATATTGTAGTTTTCTAATTTTATTTATTTGAGATAGGGTCTCCGTCTGTTGCTCAGGCAGAAGTGCAGTGGCATGATCATGGCTCATTGCAGCCTTAAATTCCTGGGCTCAAGCGATCTTCCTGCCTTAGACTTCCAAAGTGCTGGGATTACAGGTTTGAGTCAGCACACCCAGCCTATTTCTTATTCTTAGTTTCTAACCACATCCTGCTTGACATTTTAGCTTTTCTAATGCCCTGCTCCTTGCCCCAGAAGGCTGACTCCAGAGAAGGTATCATCCAGACTCCACTGACGGCTGGCTTTTCAGTGGGTTCAGCCACTGAAAGATACCAGCAGGAGATAGGAACATGAAAGAAAAGAAGGCAGGGTATTAGGTTCCTGCTCTGTCTGCTTTCCTGATGAGCTTCTGGCAGTGGGTTGGTCTCTTCTTATCTATTGCTTTGCTTCTAGTCCCTTCTCTATGCCTCCAGCTCTTTTTGGGTTCTCGTAACATTATTTCCTCCTTTTGTTGCTAGAGACTGAGTGATATAACATCTCTTATTGGTCCCCTGAACCCTCTCCACACCTCTGTGGGTGGTTCCTTTGATAAGTTCTCTCCCCTAAACCATTGTGGTTATTTTTCTTTTTTTCCTGCTGTGGACCTGGACTGAAACATCTTTCAAATCCTTCCTATTAGTCAAAGCTGATTCCATTATAATGGGGAAAGATCTGAGATCCATAGAAAAAGATTTATTAATATATTAATTCAGCAGAAGTCTGTGACTCATTTGCTACATGCTACTGTTCAACCAACAGTAATATTAACTAATTAAGACACAGTCCGTGCTCTCAAATTGTTCACACTCCAGTGGGGGGTGACAGAGGTAATATTTACAAAGGTAAATATGTAAGTTCCAAAAACATAAAAGTGTCTGAAAATCAAGGTAGAAATACATAAAGTTGTAGAAAAATAAAGTTGGGAATTAACCATTCCACAAAGAGATTCTGGTGAATGCCTCATAAAAGAGCTAACCTGAGATTTTCAAAAGATGGATAGAAATTCATCAGATGGAGATAGTGGGATAAAGCTTTCTAGCCCAAGAAAACAAATGGCATATGCAGAGACTCAGGGTTATAACATTGCCTGCTACATTTCATGAGTATTTTGGAATGATAGGATATTTGGAATATTGATGGTTTTGAATTACTAAGATACAGGCAGAGAACATTAGATCGGGTAAACAATGTTGAAGGAGTAGGAAATGACTATGGAGAGGTTGGCACTAAACTAGATCACAGAGGCTTTGTGTGTAGGAAAGTGTAGTCTTGGCCAGGTGCAGTGGCTCACACCTATAATCCCAGCACGTTGGGAGGCCGAGGAGGGCAGATCACCTGAGGTCAGGAGTTCGAGACCAGCCTGGCCAATGTGGTGAAAACCTGTTTCTACTAAAAGTACAGAAGTTAGCCGGGCATGGTGGCATGTGCCTGTAATCCCAGCTACTCAGGAGGCCGAGGCAAGAGAATCTCTTGAACCTAGGAGGTGGAGGTTGCAGTGAGCTGAGATTGCGCCATTGCACTCCAGCCTGGGCAACAACAGTGAGACTTTGTCTCAAAAAAAAAAAAAAGTGTAGTCTTTATCCTAATGGGTATATTTCAGGCAACTGACTCATTTTAAGCAATCTAGTTATGCAATACAAGTCACTATAATGGAAAAAGAAGAGAGGAAGGAAAATGGATGATAGAGGTGACAAAATTGGAAGGTGAGAGACAAGGTAGACTTGCTAAAGGTCAGGAATGAGAGACTAGGAGACTACGGCAATATTAGAGACAAAGCAAGTTAGACATTCTAGAAACTCTTATAAGTAATATGGATAAGATTTAGTTACCAACTGTATATGAGAGACACCTAGGGTGGCAGTGAATGTTGGCAAGATTGACTTATCTTTTGTGCTGAGGAAAGTTAGTATATTCCAACTGAACATGTGAACATGAAATATCTGGAGCAGGGACAGATATAAGTTTGTGGAAACTGCAGCTAATATACTTCTGGAACCCTCTTTAAAAAATGAATGCAAAAAGTGAATACTTATTCCACTAATGTGTTACCGTTACCCTTTGGGAAAACAGCTGTATTATGTAAGATGATGGAGTGAGCGTATAGCAGATGTTGTAGTTAGGAGTAAGGTTTTCTATAAAAGAAACCCAAATGGAGGTACATTCTAAACAATTAGGCCAGATGCAGTGGCTCACACCTGTAATCCCAGCACTTTGAAAAGCTGAGGCAGGTGGATTACCTGAGGTCAGAAGTTCAAGACCTGCCTGGCCAACATGGTGAAACCCCATCTCTACTAAAAATACAAAAATTAGCCCGGTGTGGTGGCACATGCCTGTAATCCCAGCTACTTGGGAGGCTGAGGCAGGAGAATTGCTTGAGCCCGAGAGATGGAAGTTGCAGTGAGTCAAGATCGTGCCATTGCACTCCAGCCTGGCCGACAGAGCGAGACTCTTTCTCTCAAAAAAAAAAAAAAAAAAAATTAAACAAAAAACTTCCTTGGAATCTTCAGGGAATGTTTCAATGATATTGAAAACGTTAATATCATGAAATACAAAAAAAGACTCAGAAATAATTCCAGATTAAGGAAAATAAACAGACAAGACATTGAATGCAACACATAATTCTGACCTTCCTCCTATTATAAAGGATATTATTGTGGATGAAAAAGAATAGTCTTTATTTTAAGGAAATAAACAAGAATGTATGTAAGATTAAAAGCCCATCATACCTGAAACTTACTCTCAAATAATTCAAATGAGAGAGGGAGATGGAGAAGGAGAGAGAAAAAATGATAAAGCAATTGTAATAAAATGTTAATGAAAATGACCCAAATATCCTATAGAAATAATGTTTATAGGTTTTCTTTTTTTTTTTAATAAACAAGTTTTCCTAGACTTAAAACTTGAAGCTTAAGTTTCCTTCCTCAGGAAACTAACCTTCAGGAAAGGAATTAAACCTCAACAGATTACGGTATCCAGACAGTGAGACCCCTCATTCATTATGATTGCTTCTTTACCCCTCCCTAACTTCTGTTTTATGTTTCCTCCCTGCTATATAAATCCTCCAATTTTAGTTAATCAGGGACACGGATGTGAGACTGATCTCCCTTTCTCCTCGACTGCAGCACCTGATTCATGCCTTCTTCCCTGGCAATACTCATTGTCTCAGTGATTGGCTTTTTGTGCAGTGAGCTATAGGACCTAGACTGAACCCCTAGCATTTCAGTAACATTAACATGTGGGTAATTTGGGTGAAGGGTATCTAAAATTTAATTATGTAATTTTGTCAACTTTTATGTAATTCTGAAATTATTTTAAAAAGTTAAAGAGGAAGGTTTTATAGGCAATCTTGACTGAATCCTAGCTCTGCCACTTTGTAGCTTTATGATTTGATGCAAACTATTTAACCTCTTGTTTTATTTTCATTTAGCTATGATTTGAAATAATAGTGTCTACCTTATAGGTTATTGTGAGGATTAAATAAAGTAAAAATATATAATATTCGTATTTTACCTTGCTTGGCAAGCATCACCCTCAAACTCATATGTTTAAAAACTAACCCCCAAGGTGATAGTAACTCTTAGCTCAGAAAGGAGGATGGGCCTTCGGGAGGATTTTTGTCATGAGGATAGAGCCCTCATGAATGACATTAGTACTTGTGACATAAATAAGAAATATATATTTCATCACTGCCCTATTTTCTGGCACACAATTCCTAAAATCCTTGGAGTCTGGAAGTGATAAATGTCTTTTTTTATGCTAATGAGATTACTGATGACAGAGAAGGCTGGAGTAACTAGCCCTAGAGTAACTACATATATGATTAGAGGATTGAAGCTTTTAGTTCTACTCCCTGACCTCTGAAGAGGGGAGGAGTGGCTGAAGGTAAAGTTGGTTATCAATGGCCAATGATTTAATCAATCCTGCTTACACAATACCTACATACCTTGCCCTATGCACGTCTTCTATCTACCTGTTCATTTGTGTCTTTTGTAATATCCTTTATGATAAACCAGCAAACGTAAGATAAGTGCCTTTCTGAGTTATGTGAAAACTGCTCTAGCAAATGATTGAAGCTGAGAAGAAGGTTGTAGGAACCTCCAACAAATAGCCCCTTGGTCAGAAGCACAGGTAACCTAGTATCTGAAATTGGAGGCAGTCTTGTGGAACTGAGTCCTTAATCTGTATGTTCTGTTCCAACTCTAGTTAGTGTCAGAATTTAATTGAATTATAGGATGCCCAGCTGGAGAATTGATCAGTGGGGGAGAAATTCTTCTTTTGTGATCAGAAGTGTATTTAGTGTGAGTACTAGAGTTGACAGTAGGAGAAAACAGTTAGCTTTTCCCTATAGTGCCCTTATAAAAAAGACCCTCAGAAAACCCCCCATTGTCCTTTCTACCATGCGAGGTTACAGTGAGAAGACAGCTACCTATGAGGGAGCTGGCTCTTACCAGATGCTGAATCTGCTGGTGGATTAATCGTGGACTTACCAGCCTCCAGAATGGTGAGAAACACATTTCTGTTGTTTATAAGTCAGCAAGCCTGTGTAGTATTTTGTTATAGCAGCCTGTATTGCCTAAGACAGCAAGGCTTTTAAAAAAGGTTTTCAATAAATGACCACTATTATTATTAATAAGCAGTGGTTTTCATTCCAAATAGTTGCAAAGGAAAGCAATGTTTTCAGGGTTTAACCAAATTTCAGAATATTTCTTACAGCAAGGAGATGGAAGTGGTTGAGGTTATGGAAGAGGAATGGTGTTTAAAGTTGTTTGGGGTCAAAATTGGCAGAAGATCCCAGATGATTTTTCTAGTGGGGTTTTGAAGGACCCTGGCTTTTAAAATTAGGACAAGAATCTCTATAAATTCTGCCTCAGATGCCCAACAGATGTGCTGATGTTGAATCTCTGCAGCTCTTCTTCAGAAAGTCAGAGTGGCAGTGCATTGAGCAAACCAGTTTTTTTTTTTTTTTTTTTTTTTTTTTTTTTTTTTTTTGAGATGGATTCTAGCTCTTTCACCCGGGCTGGAGTGCAGTGGCGTGATCTTGGCTCACTGCAACCTCTCTGCCTCCCGGGCTCAAGCAATTCTCCTGTCTCAGCCTCCCAAATAGCTGGGACTACAAGTGTGTGCCACCACCCCTGGCTAATATTTGTATTTTTTGTAGAGACAGGGCTTTCACCATGTTGGCCAGGCTACTCTTGAACTCCTGACCTCAAGTGATCCACCTGCCTCGGCCTCCCAAAATGTTGGGATTACAGACGTAAGCCACCGTGCCCGACCGAGCAAACCTTTTTAAATACAGGGACAGAACATAATGAGGAACATTCCTTCATTACTTCTCCAAGAAGCCCAGTTTGATGGATGAAATTTGCTTTACTGTATTGTTATTAATCCTTTAAATGTCCATATTTTCTTTCTCTAAAAGTTACCTATTAAATATAAAGATCATATTACATATCCCTTTATATTTTTAGAATCTTTTGTAGTGCCATCTAGGCATTCAGTATAAAGGTAGCTGCTGATTGTCAAGAAAAATTGATATGAATGAATGAATGAAGACATAGGAGTTGTTTTATTATGGAGAAATTTTATGTTAAGTTTATTTGTTATAATTACATTTTACCCATAAGTCTTTATAGTTATTAACTTAATTGCTTCAAGGTTTGGTTTAAAATCTTTAAATAAAAAGGAGAAATAACATATTTGTCTCAACTTTATAAACATGTAATGTGAAGGAACTCTACAGAAAGGTGTTACAGTTTCCTTTTTTTGTAAGAGCATAGGTTCTATGTTAGGAAGAACAGGGTAATAGCATTATTACTAGGTGTAGGACATAAAAAAGAAACATTAATATTGATCTTATAAAGCTCATTCTTTTCCTTCCTCTGACTGACTTTAAATTAATTTGATTATAGAACTGTACTATAGGGTTAATTAAGAGTGATTTTGTCTATTAAAAATAATAAAGGTATAAATAAATAGAATTAAGATGGCTCCTACCTAGAAATTGTGCTTACAGATCTGTGGGATATTGACTCAGTAGTATTACGCTACCTCAGTCTGTGAGTGCAGTTTCTTAGAATAATGATATGGAGTGTATACCTAGTGTTCTAATGAAAACCCATGGTCATACATCTATCTAATTGCAACAATGCCCTCCAGGATACTTCAACTCCAAATGGACCATTCTTCTTTTGCCTGAGCAAATGACTTTAAAACCACCTGGCTTCTCGCCACGACCTGAAGTGAAAAATTTACTGACTGTGATATCACACTAGAAACAGCATTACAGGATGAAAAATTGGAAAGTACAGGCAAAGAAGTGAGATTTTTTATCAGGTTTCTGGAGGTATAGCTTATAAGGTTTGGGCATTACCTTTCATAATATCTAATTTTCTCCACAAATTAATAGAAGTCATCTGTTAATAAGTAAAGACTTTCGAAAACACACTAAAGCCCCCGAGCTCCCGAGGTAAGAGAAAGATGAAACCTTAAAGAGGCAGACACAGCTATTGGGTGTGCTGTATTATAGATTTTAACCCTGAATGCTGGGAAACTTCAACCAAGAAAAGCAAGGACTAGCAACTCAGGCAAGCCAAAGATTAATTTATCCTATACCAGGCATACTCAATGCTAGAGTGAAATTCCCCATCCAACATCCTATGGATAATAAGTACAAAGATGTTATTTTCTGTTAGTATATATTTTGTTGTTAGTTTGGTTAATTTAGACCATTTGTGGGAGTGAGTTGAAAAGGACTTTTTGACATGAACAATAAGACATTATCACTACTATAAGAATCATGATAGCTTTCATTTATTTAGGTGTTAACTATGTGCTGGGCACTCTTCTGAGTGATTTATATGTATGAACTCATTTAATCCTCAAACCACTCTATGGTATATTTGCTATTTTTATCTCTGATTTAAAATACACGACTGAGGCATAGAGAGGTTAAAGCAACTGAATCAATTTCACATATTTCGGGAGTGACAGTGCTAGATTTAAACACTGGCTTCTGGCTCCATAGTCTAAAAAATCTTAAAATATACTACAGGCCATTTGGATATTTGAATTTATATATTAGACAATGAGCTCTCTGGTCACATTTCCATATTTATTTCACAGGATAAAGATAACATATTTGGACCAAATACGCAATACAAGCATAGCTTGTCTTATTGTGCTTTGCTCTATTGCATTTTACAGATACTGCATTTTTTTGTTCGTTTGTTTCTGTTTTTTTTTCGAATTTGAAGGTTTGCAGTAACTCTGCGTTGGGCACCTATCAGCACCATTTTTTTTTCAGAACATGCATTCACTTCATGCCTCTGTTTCACATTTTTGTAATTCTCACACCATTTCAAATGTTATTATTATTATTATTATTATTATTATATCTCTTACAGTGGTCTGTGATCAGCGATTTTTTGTTTTGTTTTGTTTGTTTTTTGAGACGGAGTCTGGCTGTGTCGCCCAGGCTGGAGTGCAGTGGCACAATCTCGGCTCACTGCAAGCTCTGCATCCCAGGTTCACGCCATTCTCCTGCCTCAGCCTCCTGAGTAGCTGGGACCACAGGCACCCGCCACCACGCCTGGCTAATTTTTTGTATTTTTGGTAGAGACTGGGTTTCACCATATTAGCCAGGATGGTCTCGATCTCCTGACCTCGTAATCCACCTGCCTCGGCCTCCCAAAGTGCTGGGATTACAGGCGTGAGTCACCACGCCCGGCTGATAGTGATTTTTGAGGTTACAATGGTGATTGTTTTGGAGCACCACAAACTGCACCCATGTAAGGTGCGTGCTCCCACTGCCATTCCGTCTCCGTCTCCCTCTTCTCAGGCCTCCCTGTTCTCCAAGACACAACATTATTGAAGTTAGGCCAATTAATAACCCTGCAATGGCCTCTAAGTGTTCAACTGAAAGAAAGCATGCACTTCTTTTTCTTCAAATCAGAAGCTAGAAAGTGATTAAACTTGTGAGAAAGGCATGCTGAAACTCAAAACAGGCCAAAAGCCAGGCATCTTGCACCAAACAGTTACCCAAATTGTGAATGCAAACAAAAAGTTCTTGAAGGAAATTAAAAGAGCTACTTCAGTGAATACACAAATAGTAAGAAAGTAGAACAATTTTAGTGCTGACACAGCAAAATTTTTATTGATCTGAGTAGACTATCAAACCAGCCACAACATTTCCTTAAGCCAAAGCCTAAGCCAGAGCAAGGCTTTCTTCAGTTCTATGAAAGCTGAGAGAGGTAAGGAATCTGGGCAGTGGCTCATGCCTGTATTCCCAACACTTTGGGAGGCTGAGGTGGGAGGATTGCTTGAGCCCAGGAAGTTGAGGCTGCAGTGAGCCATGATTGTGCCACTGCACTCCAGTCTGGGTAACAGAGCAAGCCCTTTCTCAAAATAAATAAATAAATAAATAAAATAAAATAATAATGAAATTAAAAAGTAGCTACTGCTAGCATTTTTAGCTACAAAGTATTTTTTTATTTAAAGTACATTGTTCTTTTAGAATATTATTGCACACTTAATAGACTACACTACAGTGTAACTATAACTTTTATATGCATTGAGAAACCAAAAAAATGTGTGTGGCTCACTTTATTGTCATATTTACTTTATTTCAGTGGTCTGGAACTCAACCTACAATATCTCCAAAGTATGCCCGTATATTACATTAGGCAATGATATGATTAATGTGTCTTAAATTAAGTGGTGGCCACTAAAAACGGGAACAACCACCCTCATACTTATACAATAGCAATTGCAGAATGTTTTATGACTTGCCCAATACTCACTTGCTCAAAGCCTTGCCTCACGTCAATCAATCCAAAGACTCCATCCTACTTCAAATAGTCCCCTCCTAATGACCTCTAAGCTATAAGCAACAAAAACCATACATTTACTTCCGCTACTATGACTCAATTTCAGAATTGTCTTTGTAGCGATTTTTTCTTGCTGAAGTAAGTCAATAAAACTTACTCTACTGATACAGTAACAAGTTTCTTTACTTATGGAGGGAGCTTTCCACAATTTGAAGATTCAACAAGACTCAGCTGAGACCCTCATGCTTGTGCACATATCTTTCAAGGACAGTTTCACCTGTTCACCTCAAGTTTTCTGGAATTCAGTGGAGAGGTGAGTCGCATGTTCTGTCTGAGCTCGGATTTTGTTATGTTCCACATCAGAGTGTATGTTATTCTGGGAAAATTTGATTTCACCCATTACAGTCTTTGTTACTTTAAACAGACTTGCCTTTGAGGTAGCTGGTCTGAAATTGTCCTAAATGATCCCTTCTCCTGATCTTCATGCCCTTGTGCAGTCCTGTCCCATTGAATGTGGGCTGGACAGGGTAGCTTGACTCTAATTAACAGAATAAAGCAAAGTGATATGATATCACTTCCCAGGTTAGGTTAGAAAAAGATTATGACATTTCTTGAGAGAGACAGGGTTCTTTCTCACTCAACTTTAAGTGAAGACAGCTGCCGTGTTATGAGCTGCCCTATTGAGAGGCCCAGGTGGCCAGGAATTGGTTTCTCCAGCTAGCAAATCAGTGAGGGACTGGGGCCTGCCAAGAGCCACATGAGTGAGCCTGGAAGTGGATGCTTCCCTACTTGAGCTTCGAGGAGACTGCAGCTTCAGGGGACAATGCCATTGCAATTGCAACCTGAGTCACAGGTGATCCGCTAAGCCGCGTTCGGATTTCTCACCCACAAAATCTGGAAGGTACTGTTTATTGTTTTAAGTTGCTGATTTGGGGGGTTAATTTGTTAATATAAATAGATAAATAATACATATTTCAGTACCTGAAATATGACCTGAAAGTGGAGGTCTTGTATTCAGGTACGGAAATACACATTTCAGTACCTGAAAGTGGAGTGCTGCTATATAAAAATCTAAAATGTGGGATGGTGTTGGGGCTGGATATTGGGCTTTGAAGAGAGTGTTCGTGAAAACATAAAATGCTTTGAATTCGCTGTTAAAAACATGGACATTGAAGATACATCAGGTCTCAAAAAAGAAGTGAGGTATTGAAAACTAGAGAAAGGTTGAGGGGAGGGTGTTCCTTATTATATATACATATATATAGCAGTAGGGATCTTGGCAATACTATTTACTGCCTGCAGTAACATGGAATGTAGAAAATGTGACTTATAAACTGGGTGATCTAGCTAGACTTCCAAACGAAGTGTTGAAGGCACTGCCTGGTTTCTTCGTGCTGTTTCTAATAAAAAGGGAAGAGAGATAGAAAAATTGAGGGAAAGAATGTTAAAGCTCATGTTATGAGCTGCCCTATTGAGAGGCCTAGGTGGCAAGGAATTGGTGTCTCCAGCTAGTTAAAGACAGCCAGGACTTGTGGTGTTTGTTTGTTTGTTTATTTATTTATTTATTTATTTTTATTTTTTATTTTCAGCTTATTCCAGATGGTAGATGTTAAAATTAAGAATATATGATGAGGCCGGGCATAATGGCTTGTGCCTGTAATCCCAGCACTTTGGGAGGGCAAGGTGGAGAGATCACCTGAGGTTAACAGTTTGAAACCAGCCTGGCCAACATGGCAAAACTCTTTCTCTACAAAAATTAGCCAGGCGTGGCGGCTCATGCCTGTAATCCCAGCTACTTAGGAGGCTGAGGCAGGAGAATCATTTGAACCCGGACAGCGGAGGTTGCAGTGAGCCGAGATCACGCCACTGCACTCCAGCCTGGGCAACAGAGCAAGAGTCTGTCTCCAAAAAAAAAAAAAGAGAGAGAGAAAAGAAATATATGGTGAGACAAAAATTAAATCCAGGATGCTGACAGGAAAACATGAGATAAAATCAAGAGAATGACCCTAAAATCTTTTGTTAAGAGCTATATGATAAACGCACCTGAGAGTAATAAGTTACGTAAGCCCTCAGAATAAGAGTATGGCAGACACACCTGAATGTGTGTTCCAAGGTAGGGAAGTCAGGAATGACCAACCTAAAATTTCGTTCCTTATGTATGAGGAACATCTAAGAACGTGGCCCACCCAGTGGAACAAGAGCTGTGTAGGGGATTGAGGCCCTGAGTTTGGGTTAAAAGATGGCTATGATGAAGAGGTTCATAAGTAGAGGGTGATAAATGAAAATGCTGTTTGTAAGCCATTGTGGCTTTCCTGACCAGCCCACCACCACTGGGCCATGCAATTATCTTGCCCAGTTCACCACCAACGGACTACATGTAAGATGGATATCTTGTCCAGCCCTTCACTACAGCCTGCCACCACTGGACTGTAGTCTGCTGCCACTGGACTATAAGTAAGGTGGTTAGCTCATCCAGCCCACCACCACTGGTGTGTGTGTAAGATAGATATCTTGTCCAGTCTGCCACCACTGGACTGTAGGTGAGGTGGTTATTTTGCCCAGCCCACTGCCACTGGACTATCGGTAAGGCAGATATCCTGTCCAGCCTGTTGCTACTGGACTATGTAAGGTGGCCACTGTCACTGGACTGTTCACTGGCGTGCTCACTGGACTGGCTGTTATCTTGTCCAGCCTGCACCACTGGACTGTATATAAGGTGATTTTTCTATGTAGCCTACTGCCACTGGACTCCCTCGCCTCTGTGTAAGCCCCTTATAAAACCACATGTCTCATTTGCTGGCTCCAAATCTCTTCTTTGTCCTCTTGAACCTGGTAACTTCCCTATTGAGGTTAATAGGGGTTCAGCACAAGAGCTTTAGGAGTTATTTGGCTACACCCAGGCCATTTGCTTTTCTCAAGGAAGAGATAATTGGCACACTACTCTTAAATGGCACCTACACTGCAGTGGTGTGTTATTTTTACAAGGGAAGTCAAGCCTTCACCTGTTTCCCTCACTTTAACTTACCTTGTGCCTGCAGGGTAATTGTCAGAGACTTCAGAAATCCAAGATCCTGGGTCCCTTTTTGGACATTGTGTCATTGAGGCATGTCCCTAGGAACATGTAAGATGAAGCCATGATAGGCTATTCAGGACAGTTACCCAGAGGAAATATTGATTCACTTTTTATGCACAACATCTGGGTAATGGTTTCTACAATGAGGGTTATATAATTGGAATAGGTGACCAGAAATTTATTGTTAACCTTGTCCGAAGTTTTAAAGAACACTTTCACAGCTCTCAAAGCTGAATGATGAGTCTCAACTATTTGACTCACGTGAAATAGAAAATCTGGTAGCTTTAGACTTTCTACTAGCCAGTCATGATGGTATCTGTGCCATTACTGGCAATCTGTGTTACACATGAATAAATACTATTAGCCAAGTACAATGCTCTTCTAAACTGAGGGGGTCAGCCACTTGACTCTCCAAGGAATATCCTCCTAGATTCTAGACATATTTTCTTGTCCTGGGTTCAGTAATTTCTGTATATGGCTTGGAGGCATTCTGCAAAGTTCAGTCTTCACTCTTCTACTTTGTGTGCATCTTCAATCTTCCATGCTTCCGTGCAGCCACTGTCACATCAGATGATCGAAAATCTCATCCCTTAACAAAATACACAAAATAATAGACACTGATTTAAGTTTAGACACTCTAAACCTTAAAAAAAAAAGATGATAATATCAGGGCTCATGACAGTGATGTAAATCTGGAATGATACTGCTTTTGTGGCCAACCCTTTGGCCTGGCGAAAAGACGGCCAAAAGCTGTTGAGACCAGAACTAGAAAGACCACCTCCTGTTGTCACTTGTGTGATTAGAACCACAAAATATCTTATGAATTTCATAACACTTTCATCTTTGCTCAGAATCTCACCTAGTTGCATAAGTCTTTAAAAAATCAACCAGTTCAAAGATTTGCTCTCCTTTTATCCCAATCTATTACCTTTCTGAGTTTAATCCATAAGAAATAAAAATTGTATATGCACTTCCTGTAATGAGATGCCAATTTAGAGTTGATTCCTTATGTTCTCTCTTGCCAAAGTAAGTGAATGAAAGCCAGTTTGCTTACATCATAATAGCTTTCATTTAAGGCACAGGCTTTCAACTTTGTGTCACTGAAAATATCTAAAGTTAATTTACCGTGTAATTATCTAAATTATGCTTTTCAAAGTTTCTGTGCATCTTCGGTTGTTGGTTGGTATTGTAATTTTTCTTGTCATTTTGTCCAAAAAGAAGTTTTTGAAGGAGTAGTGACATCACGAGTTGTGAATAAACACAGTCTTACACTTAAAATTTTTTAAAATTGTTTAAAAATTCAACCTTCAACCCATTGTTAATTTTGTCACTAGTGCTAAATAATTAGTTGTAATAACTTCCCCTTAATACACTTATTTTAATGTTGTATAGATAAGACCTCTGTTTGTGATTGATCTGTGATATTAGTTCAATACCTAGACCCTCATATTAAAAAAAATTACTATGCCATATAATCCTAAATATTTAAACCAATTCACAATTCATTAAGGACCAAATATGGGTCTAGCGCTGCTCTATATTTAATATGCGGTACAAGAGAAATACAGATAACTTCTCCTTCAAGGTCGATAATTTTGTTAAAAACAGAAAATAAAGGTACATGAACCAATGACCAGTTTTGGGTTTTCATAGGATCAACCATCTTTGAGGTGAAAGACTGTTGAAGCACATGGTGATGACTCACCAAAATTGAATCATAGCAATACCAGTACAATTATCAGTGTTTTATGTTTTTCTTTTCATAGATTGTTTAAAATATTTCTGATTTGGAGGCTTCAGGAGTAAACACAATTGGTGAAATTTTTATTTTAGATTACCTAACAAAGTAACTATGCTTCTTTTATGAAAGTTTAAGTTGATTCTTTTTGAATCAATTTTGAATCTTTTTGAATCCGTTTTATGTATTTTTTTTTTCTCCTTGGACCACGTTTTTCTTCATTAAGTGTACTGGCATACTATCAGATCAGAAATCTCTGCCAAATGGAGTTTCTGAAGATTTACTTCTCCAAGTCTTCATTTCAGATTCACTTTTCATCCCTTGCTAATACTAATTTCCTGCTTGCTTCCTGCCATGGCTTTTCTTGACTATATGGTGGTGTTAAAAAAAAAAAAAAGTATTACCATTCCAGTATAGGTGTAGTTGTAAGAGTTTAAGAATCTTTTCACATAAACACTTTGGCAAGACAATGAACAAGGAGTTGGAAAAAATAGTAACTGTCAGAAAAGTTAAATATATAGTCACAGTAGGTCATTTTGTACTCTACTCAAAGTTCAAATAGGCCAGAGAATGTTTTTATGCTGAATTAATCCTGTCCTATCAAATGGAGACCAAATCCCCAGGAAGTCTGATTATGTAGCATGCAGGCATATGCTAAGAGGCCAATTGACTGCTTTCTCAGGTTATGATCATCATTAATGATAATGGACATTCTATTCTAGGACTGAGGGAAGGGTGTAACTTTTTATTGTCTATTCATGCCGCTGAAAATAAGAGACATTCATATGGGGGAAATTAGGAGCATCTCAGGGAAGGTGGTTGGAGAAGGTCAATTCAGCATGGTAAAAGAAATAACATCCGACCACTCAAAAGCGTTTGGCTGGCCTGTGAGTTGGGGAAGATGTTTTGACAGATAAACAGTTTGCCACTTTCCTATATTATTCGAGTGCTTTCAATATATTCTTTCCATAGAAATTAGTTTTCTTTCTGTGTTCCTTCATCTGTCCTAGGTAAAATGGTGAAGTGAAGTGAGTTTTACAAAGCTTTCTACAGGGAAAACTAAGGGACAAGCTGGAGAACACAAACCCTTTGTCTTGAATGGCCTGGTGTGTCCAATTGTGTCCCCAGAGGGTGTGTTATGGCTCCAGAAGACCCAGAACTGAGTGGGGTCAGATAGTATCTAGAGAAGTATTTGTGCAATCAATGAGCTGAGGAGAAAAAAAATTGAAAGCTATAGCAGAGCATTGCATGAAATCAGAGGCCTGGGGAAACTGGCTCACCTCTCACACTGAAGGGAAGAAGCAAGAACATAAATGAACGATTCTCAGAATCTCTCTCTCTTTTTAAAGTTTACCATTTTAAATGAGATAATTTGACTTGAGTGAGAGAACTGAAGTCAAAATCAAGGAGTCATCTATATCCTAGCAAAGCTCTCCATGCATAAAAGTTTGAGAAAATGGGAAGACAAGCGAGGAGTGGAACTGGTAAGATCAGGCAAATTGGGCTTCAAGCATCAAGTAGGACATTTCTACACAACTTATCAGAGATTAGGATTTGGTTGTGTGTGAGTGAAAGAAACCTCCCAAATAACAGTGGCCAAAACAGGTTAGAAGTATATTTCTGTTTCACATAAGAGTCTGGGTTGGCACATCAAGGCGTAAATAATATAGTGTTTGGGGCCAAAGATTCTTCTCTTTGTGTCCTACTTGGTGTTATGTCATCTGTGTTTCCAGCAGTGGAAAACATGAAGACAAGGGGAACATACAATAATTCTTAAGAAAGAGTCTGTGAAAATGTCACAAAGCAGTTCTGCTCACCTCCCACTGGCCAGAACATAGTCATATGACCATACTCAGCAAAAAAAAAAAAAATGGCTCTGAGAAATGTATTCTTATTCTTGTAAACCATATGCCCTATTAAAATAAAAAGAGAGAACATTATTTTACCAAGGAATAAAAAGAAAAAACTCTTAGAAAATTTACTACAGAGCTAAACTGGATCGAATGCATTGTAATCACATGACCTAGCAAATTGTCCACTGAAAAAATAGAAAATGATTCATAGCCTACATAGGGAGGGGCAAATGGAATGTTTCAATTATCAGGGACTCTCCCTGTCTTTCAGAAGGAGCTGGAAATCACGGGGGACAAACGATAATGAGAGAATTCAAGTCAAAATTAGGGAGCTGTTCATTACCTGGTACAGTTCTCTGTGCTTTTAGCAAACCAGCCTCCAGTGGTCAAGCATCCAAGAGCGTCTTACTTACTGTGGACCATTCTAGGAGTTTGAAACAGAGGTTCAGTCCTCATAACTTAATATTCATGAAACACAGAGCACAGTGGGAAATAACTTGAATTCATCCCTCATATGGCATTTAAACATGTACAAATCCAATTGGAAAACTTGGTTTTCCCTAAGGAGATTGAACTGAAGAAAAACTGAAACCTCTTAAAAGAAAAATTTCTGTGAGTTAAGGAATCTGGAGAAATGCTGTCAAAACAATGGTCCCAAATAAGGTGTGAAACACATCAGACCAACTCCTCCTTTCCTACCTGCAGAGTGCCATACTTGCTTGAAAGGGGTGGGTTTCCATCTCAGGGAAATGTCTCTGCATTCAGGGACCAATGCTCACTTTCTGAGCTCCCCTGACAGAACTGGTGATAGGTAGTGCAAGGTGTTTGCCCTCTACAGGGGAAAAGAGAACTAAAAATTAACAGCAGAAGGTCAAAAAAGCCCTGGCGGTGAAATAAACAGAAACCTATTAGAAACAAAATCCCAAGTGATGAGAGCCGTGGATATCAGAGCAGAATTGCTGTGGGGCTGCATATGACAGGTTTGAAAATCCCAATCATTTCCGGCAACCATAGACTCTGAGAGAGAAATATTTGGGAATGAGATTGCTAGAACATTTCAGACTTCTGAATAATTGGTCTGGCCTCAAAACCTTGGTATTTGGATTGTGATTATATATACACATATATATATCTATATACATATATATCTATGTACATATATATATACATATATATGTAGATATATATATCTATACATATATATCTATGTAGGTATATATATCTATACATATATATCTATAGACATATATCTATGTGTATATATACATATATATACACATATATATATATATAGTGTGTGTGTGTGTGTGGTTTTTTTTTTTTTGAGACACAGTCTCACTCTGTCGCCAGGCTGAAGTACAGGGGTGCGATCTTGGCTCACTGCAGCCTCCACCTGCTGGGCTCAAGGGATTCTCCTACCTCAGCCTCCCAAGTAGCTGGGATTACAGGTGTGCACCACCACCCCAGCTAATTTTGTATTTTTAATAGAGAAGGGATTTCACTATGTGGGCCAGGCTGGTCTCGAACTCCTGGCCTCAAGTGATCCATCTGCCTCAACCTCCCAAAGTGCTGGGATTATAGGTGTGAACCACTGCACCTGGCCCCAGATAGTGCTTTAAAGGTGACTAATGTTCATTGATGGGACACAGCAGAAGCAATGCAGATTAAAATAAGAATGAGGCAAAAAAAAAACAAAACTGATCTATCAGAATTCAGGTGGGAGCAGTCAAGATGAGGGTAGGAAGCAAAAGCATTTGAGAATTAGAGACTAAATTATTTAGATCCCTTGCCTAGAAATTTGAAATGAACGCTAGAACAGACTCATCTGGCAATGACATCCTGGTGTTCTGTTCAGCATACCACGGTATTCATTAAACGAGAAAGTAAATGGAAGGGCTATGAAATGCCCAAAGTATAGCCAGCTCTCAATTCCTGTAGAAAAAAAAAAACCATGTGCACATGTTACTGGGGCCATAGGATGGAAGTTCTTCAGTCAAATACGCATTGGGAATTAGGCATATTTGGATGTAAGCAGTCAATGTTTTGGGTAACACAAAAATCATGTGATTAGGGCAGGTGACTGGATCTTGAAAATATGCACTGACTCTTAGGAATAAGCTTCCTATAATGAGGAATAAGATCAATAAGAAATATGATTGACAGGAAATGACCCTCTCACCCCTCTACAAAGAAATTAAGTTTAGGTATGCAAGCCAAAGATAACTAATGAATACTAAGCTTAATACCTACCTGGGTGATGAAATAATCTGTACCACAAACCCCCATGACACACGTTTACCTATGTGACAAACCTGCACATGTACCCGTGAACTTACAATAAAAGTTTAAAAATAACACAAAACAAGGAACATGGGTTAGAGATGAAAGCACACATTGAATCTGTAGAAGCATAGTGACAGTTTGTTTTCCAGTCCACTGAACACTCTAAGGTTAATTTTTTCTGTAAACATTTAAATTTTGTCCTTTCTTTTGAAAGTAGTTTTGCTGGCTTCACAATCTAAGTTGGCCAATATTATTAAATTACTTTTCTTTCACTTTTACTGTTGGGAACTCTGCTGTCATTCTATTTGTTTTTCTTTCTTAGGTGATCTCTTTTTTTCTCTGACTTTTTAAAAGATATTTTTGTCTTTAGGGCCTTCTGACATTTGATTTCAATATATAGGCAGGTTTTATGAAGACAAGTGAATTTATTACTTTTGATTGGTGCTGTATAACTTAAGTCATTACTTTTTAAAAATATTACTTCTAATATGTCCTTCCAGCATTCCAAGTATATGAGCTAATAGGTTCAATCTGTCTTATGTAGCTCTTAGGCTCATTTTTGAATTTATCATCTTTTCCTTAGTGCTACATTCTGGATAATTTATTCACATATGTATTCCAGCTCATTTATTTTATCTTTAGCTATGTCTAATCTGCTGTGATTTTTCTTTTTCTTTCAACAATTATATTTTTATTTTGAAGAGAAACTTTATTGTGTATATTTAAAGTATACAATATGATGTTACTGCATATAGATAGTAAAATGGTTACCATAGTGAAGCAAATTAACATATCTATGATATCGCATAGTCATTTTGATTTTTCTTTTTAAGCAAGCAGCTAAAATCTACTTTTTTAGCAGGAATCCCAAATACAGTATAAGTTTGTCAACTACAGTCTTCATGTTGTACGTTAGATCTCTAGACTTATTCGGCCTATATATCTGCTACTTTATAACCTCTAAGTTACATCTCCCCACCCCACTCCTGGTAACCACTGTTTTCTCTGTTTCTATGTATTTGGCTCTTTTTTTCTTTCAGAGCACATATATAAGCGAGATCATGAAATATTTTCCTTTGTGTCTGGTTTATTTCACTTAGCATAATGTTTTCTAGGTTTATCAAGTTGCAGCAAATGGCAGGCTCTCCCTTTTTATGGCTGAATAATATTCCTATATATATGTGTGTGTGTGTGTGTGTATGTGTGTATACACACATACCCATTCATCTGTTGATGGACACTTTGATTGTTTCCATGTCTTGGCAGCTATGAATAGTAATACAGTGAAAGTGGAAGTGAAGATATCTTTATGGGATGGTAATCTTATTTCCAATAAGTTTATGCCCAGAAGAGGGATTCATAGGACACAAAAACCCCTAGGAGAAAACACAGGGGGAAAGCCCCTTGGCATTGGCCTTGGTAATGATTTTTGGATATCATAAGAAAAGCTCAGACTACAAAAGCAAAAACAAATGAGACTACCTCAAACTAAAAATGCTTCTGCACAGCTAAAGAAACAATTATCAAAAAGAAATGGCAGCTTACAGATTGGTAAAAAAAATTTGCAAACCATATAACTGATAAGGGATTTATATCCAAAATACACAAAGAACTTATACAACTCAATAGTAGAAAAGCAAATAACCTGATTTAAAAATGGGTAAAGGACCTGGATAGGCATTTCTCCAAAGAAGAAATAAAAATGGTCAACAGTTTTATGAGAAGATGCTCAGCATCATTAATCACTAAGGAAGTGCAAATCAAAATGACTTTAAGATATAACCTTACACTCATTAAGATGGCTTTTATCAAAGAGTCAAGAGATGACAAATATTGGTGAGGGTATGGAGAAAAGGAATGTACCCAGCGTTGATGGGAATGTAGATTGGTGCTGCCATTATGGCAAATAGCATGGAGGTTCATAAATAAAAAATAGAATTACCATATATTTCTTATTTTGAGTGCTTTGTAGTTTGTAACTCTGAGATCATTACTTTACATTTGCTGTCTTTTGGGCCTATATTAAGAAATATTTCTGTTTACAACAATTCTTTTCCAACTATAATATCCATCAGAACCACCTGAATAATTTACTGAAATATAGATTATAATTCAATAGATCTGGGTTGGGACCTAAGAGTCTGGGTTTCTAACCTGCTCACAGATGATGCCTCTGCTCTTGGTCCTCAGACCACACTTGGAGTAGCATGAAGTTATATTTGCTTCAGCTTCGGTGTCTGCTGGAAGCCAGAAGATTCTACCTAGAAACTGGGTCCAATTAACCATCTCCCTTGACCTGAAACAGTACAGGTAACTGCCCTACCACACAATTAGCTCAAAGCTCATTATCCTGATCACACCAATGGCATTGTAGTTGGCTCTCAGAAAAATCCTGCATCTCCCATATGAAAATAAGAGATGTTAAGAGTTACTTCTGTTAGAACAGTGATACCATAAAACATGTATTCTATACAATACATGATGTATTGATGCAGGAAGGCCCTTTAGAGCACACTGCCAGTCATGGTGCCAGAAACAAAAGTTTGGTTTACTTTTAAAAATACTTTAAAAAATAAAATAGGGGTCATAATGGAGCCATATCTAGTTGTTGTCACAACAGTCAGTGGAGACAATAGTCTGAAGAGCACTGATAATAATAAAAGGCTGTAGAAATGTACGGTGATAATTTTTCATGATTATTGATATAGTTTGGATATTTGCCCCACCCAAATCTCATGTTAAAATGTAATTCTCACTGTTGGAGGTGGAACCTGGTGAGAGGTGATTGAAGCATGAGGGTGGATCCTTCATGAATGATTTAGCACCATCCTCTTGATGCTGTCCTCACTATAGTGAGTTTTCTCTAGACTGGTTGTTAAAAAGTGTGCAGCACTTCCCCGACCCCCTCCTTGCTCCTACTTTCACCATGTGATGAGCCTGCTTCCCTTTTGCCTTCCACCATGATTAGAAGCTTCCTGAGGCCTCTGCTTCTGTGGAGGCCACTATGTTTCTTGTACGATCTGTAGAACTGTGAGCCAGTTAAAACTCTTTAAAAAATAAATAAATCACCCAGTCTCAGGTATTTCTTTACAGTAATTTAAGAATGGTCTAATATGGCTGAGTGCAGTGCCTCACGCCTGTAATCTTAACACTTTGGGAGGCTGAGGCAGGTGGATTACCTGAGGCCAGGATTTCGAGACCAGCCTGGCCAACATGGTGAAAACCCGTCTCTACTAAAAATACAAAAATGAGCCAGGTGAGGTGGTGGAAGCCTGTAGTCCCCAGCTACTTGGAAGGCTGAGGCAGGAGAATCACTTGAACCCAGAGGGCAGAGGAGAAAGAGTGAAACTTTGTCTCAAAAAAAAAAAAAAAGTGTGACCTAATACAATTCTCTTTCTTTCTCCATAATGAACAGACAAATTATGCAGTGCTGTCATAAGACAAAATAGTACTTGGTCTCTCTGTTTCCCATATATGGTCTTTGAACTGAGACATTTCCTTTTGGCCTTTTTTTATTCTCCTGTCAATTTTGATGATATTTAAGCTCTCAAAACAACAGTGGCAAACTTATTTTACCTTAAATGTTATTTTTACAACAGTTTTTCTCCATTTTATAAAATTCATATTACTCAGAGGATGCAAATTACCCAGTGAGACATAGTGAAATATTTCATAATGAAATATGACCATAGCACTGAGTTGGGATAATTTATATTTAGCAGTACCTTTGCTCCAAAAATGTCTCTACATGCCTGCTTTAAACAATGTGTTAGCTGATAAACACTGTCTACTAGGTTGAGGCAAAGCAATGTTATACCCATTTATAGCACAGGTACGCTAAGGTGTGTGCAATTCAAATTGGTAGCTCACCCAAGCTGCAAAACAATATTACATATATAAAAGCTTGTTTTTAGCAGCTAACTAGCAGGTCCTCTAATGCATGCCAGGTGTGGTACTCTCTGCTCTCCAATCCACCCAGTCATTAAAACATTGCTGAGAGCATATTTCTCTCCACTAGAGTTTTCCTAGGGGTTCTATCCAGGTGCATGAAATAGTTAGGAGGACCACATATGCATTTGCATTAAAATTAGTTTCTGATTTGCATATCATTTACATACTCCTACACAGACTGTGTCATCTATTCTTAGGAAGCTTTTCAAACATTATTTATTGCTACCATTAAGGTTGACACTTCTTGATTTTTCTCTTTTAATTTCATCCTCACCCCATCTTTGACCTTAGAGTTTGACATCAAAGAAATACACAAAGATGGTGATGATGAAGAGAGAGAGTAAAAGCTTTCTGCTAGGTTGTAGTGTGAAGAACACAAGACATATTTCAAAGAAACATTCATCTACAGATCCAAATTATACACTGCTTTTTTTTCTTTTTCTGGGAGAGGTAGAGTTGAGATCTCTCTCTGATGGGAGAAAGGAGGTAAACGAATGTTAATATTGTAGTATGTGAACTCAAAAACACTTGATGGAGTGATTCATTTATTTAATAATATTTATGGAACACTATAATGGTCAAGGACTTTACTAGGTAATGGACATACAACAGTGAGAAAAACATAGTCTTTAAAAATACCTGTTCTCATAGTTTATATTCTAGTTGCCAAGAAGTGGGTTGGAAGAGGGCAGACAAAGCAATAAATGAGCAATATACAGAGAGTTTCAGAGAGTGATCAATTTTAGGGACAAAAATAAGGTAATGAAGGGGGATAAAGAACATAAAATATTGAGATAGGGAGGTTACAGTTTCAAACAGAGTGATCAGAGAAGATATCTTTGAGACGTATTTGCTGTCAATAAAAACCTAAAGGAGATAAGAAAGCAATCTATGCTGACATCCAAGAAAACATAAGTGTTTTTGGAAATTCACTGATGAACGTATTAAAGTGAAAATTTCTGGGCTTATTCCCCAAAGATCTGATGTAGGGGGTCTGGGGTGAATTCCAGTTATCTAAATTTTATTACTAATCACAAGAGATTCTAATGTAGAAAGTCCTCATTTGTGAAGCACTGATTAGGTGTGACATAGCGAAATTCTTGATTTTGTGGGCATGTTATTGCAGAAGAGTTTCATTGTTATTTGAGATATCACATTTCTGAAAGCATTCTTAGAAAAATAAACACATTGTAATGCACACAAAAGTAAAAATTGGGAAATATTTTGAAATATTTCGTTGTTTTTAAAATCTGATATCTTATATACACAGTGCCATTAAATAGTAGCAGGCTAACACAAATGGAATATAAGGTCCAATTTCAGTCTTAAACAGAAATTTATTCATCAAAGATTGACTATTTCAAATAATATACTCCAGAAATACAAGTTTCTTTGTTCAGTTTCTGGTTGACTTAAATATTTACATTCTTTCCTTCTTTCATTCATCATCTCATTAATGTAATAAATGTTGGAAACTTTCTAGATGGCAAAAACCTTGCTAGATGCTGATAAGCCAAGATGAATCAGTCTAAATCCCTGGAGAAACAGAGTATCTATCTCCCTAATAAAGCTCCTTGAATAGTGCTAAGGAAAGGATTTCTTCTACCTGAAATATTTGAGGAAGGGCTTATAGGGAGTAGAGAGCTGAATTTTGAAAAGCAATTTAGAGTATTACCAGGCATAATAGGTGTGCCTGCTTGTTCAGGGCGAATGTGGGGAGGTTGCACGGAAGAAGCGCAGGTGGTTAAAGAACACTGAAAGCAGAGGAAAACTAAGCAAAGGTATGATGTTTTAATCACTTTCACATTCAGAGAAAGGTCGATAGTTTTTTTTTGTAGCAAGGCATACCACATTGGTCTTAGGTCACGTTGTTATAATGAAACACCATATGCTGAGAACATGAGCAACAAAAATTTATTTTATGGAGGCTAGGAAGTCAAAGATCCATGTGCCAGGTGATTCCCCTTTTAGTGAGGGTCTTCCTGGCTTGCAGGTGGCACCTTTTGCAATGTCCTTGCATGCTGGAGCTAGCAATCTCTCTTTTCTTCCTTTTGTAAAGCCATTAATCCCAATGATGGTTGCAGCGGCCCATTTGGAGCAGCCTGCAGGGATGCCAGCTTCAGCAGGGGAGGTCCTGCTGGGGCAGCAGGCTCCCTGGAGTTTGCAGGGTTCAGCACAGGTGGGAGTCATGCCCCCTAGGGAGTTGGTGGGGCAGGAGGCCTGTACTTGTGGGCACAGCTGCAGCTGCCCAACTGAGGCTCCAGACCCAGGCATTCCTGCGTGCTGTCTGGGTGGGAAGCACCCCCTTCCTCCCTCAGGCTCGGAAGTGCTTGCTCCTGCTCCCAGGCCTCCCAACACCCTGTGTCCTCTCTGGTGCAGAGCAAACTTGCAGCTGACCCTGGATGCTGTCGAAACACGGCTGGGTGTGCATGCACTCAGGATGGCACTGACACGCCAGTCCCCTGGTCCCTCTGGAGTTGGTCCTCTCTGGACTTTGGCCAGACTTTGGGAGGCGGGTTGTTATGTTGGTGGGGAGGCACTGAGGGAGGCTTGGCATGGGCCTGCAGGCAACCCTCTATGGTGGGAGGCAGACAGGACGGGAAGGTACGGTCCCTGTCGAAACTCCACTTTGGTCAGAAATGGCCTGAAGCCTGGGGACCTGGGTGCCAGTTCTGGTTGACCTTCTCATTCAGCGAGGACTTCCTTGATGACCATTCAGACTGTTGGATGATGCTTTTTCCAGGCCTGCCCATGGCTGCCCCTGAACCAATCAGCATGCACTTCTTCCCTTCTGAGCCCATAAAATCCCTGGACTCAGGCCTGTGTGGTGGCTCATGCCTGTAATCTCAGTACTTTGGGAGGCCAAGGTGGGCAGATCACCTGAGGTCTGGAGTTTGAGATTAGCCTGGCCAAATGGCCAAAACCTGTCTCTACTAAAAATACAAAAATTAGCCAGGTTCAGTGCTGGGTGCCTGTGATCCCAGCTACTTGGGAGACTGAGGCAGGGAGAATTGCTTGAACCCGGGAGGCAGAAGTTGCAGTGAGCCAAGAATGCACCACTGTGCTCCAGCTTGGGTGACAGAGCGAGACTCCATCTCAAAACAAACAAACAAAAACCCCTGGACTCAGCCAGACTTACACAGATGTCAGGGCTACCAGCTATGGAAAGGAGCCACCCACATAGGGTTTCCTCAACTCATCGGGATGACCTGCCAGCAGAAAGGAGCTACCCACCACAGGTCTCCTCTCTGCTGAGTGCTGGATTCTCATTGGGACAATGTACCTGTGGAAAGGAGCTACCCACTTTAGGTCTCCTGAGAGCTGTTCTGTTGGTCAACAAAGCTCCTCTCCACCTTGCTACCCTCCAGTTGTCCATGTACGTCATTCTTCCTGGATGTGGGACAAGAACCCAAACCCACCGAATGGCGATACTGAAAGAGCTGTAACACAAATAGTGCTGAAACATGTCCCCTGCTTGCCACCTTGTGAGCTATAAGAAGGAGAGAGCTGTTGCTCTTTGGGGAGTCCAGACTTAGGTGCTCCCTGAGCCAGGGCTGTTATGCCCTCTTTGGGGCTCTGTGTTTCCTGGTGTTTCCAGGCTTCTGGGCACCATCGTGTTCCCTAGTGCCTGCAGCTGAAGCTGCTTGCAGCATCCCTGGTCCAGCCACAGCCTTGTATGGAGTTGTTGCCTGGAGCTGCCCACCCTGCTGCAGCTGGCGTACCTGGCTGTGCACAGTGGCCAGACCCTGCACTTGCTCACACACCCCTCACTGCTCTGTGCCTGACTCACCCTTGGCAGGCGTGGGATTTGAGCCAGTAGTGTGAGCTGAGCGCAGCCTGCTGGGCTAAGTGGGTAGAACAAGTCCAGCATGCTGACCATAACTCAGGCAAAGGCACACTGGCCACAGAGGTTTCCAGCTGGAAATGTGACACCTCAAGGATCCTGTGACACCATCATGAGGGCCTCACCCTCTTGGCCTCATCTAACCCTCATTACCTCTCAAAGCCCCCATGTCCAAATACCATTACATTGGGGCTTAGGGCTTCAACATATGAATTTTGGGGAACACAATTCAGTCTATAGCAATTTATAAAGAAAGTGGCTAGAGGTCAAGGGGAAACATGATAGGGGATGGGATGGGTTGTGAAGGCTTTTTTAATGAAAAGAGTTAGGGCTTTCCTTTATAGACAAAAGGTAGTCACTGAACACCTATTCTATTATATATTAGCTGGGTGCCCTTGAGCGGTTTCTGTATACCTCATCTTCCTATTATAAGTATTGATTAATTAATACTACCATCTGGGTGTGATAACAGTCAATAGTATAATGCAGTAATTTTGCAATATGAGAGGTAGAAAATTCTGTTAAACCTTATTATTGGGGGAATCAAACTAGTTTGAAAAAAGATGCATCAACTAAGAGCTAAGAGAGGAGGAGTTAGAAATGGGGAGAAAAAGGCTGCATCTCAATACCGGCTATACGCTGACCTTAGTTTCAGGCACTGTGGAGGAAGATGGGGCTGGATGAAATCGGGATTGAATAAGGGAAAAGACTGTCCTAGAAAGCTAGACCCTTTATAGAGGTGCAGAGCTTCCCACAGTTGCTAGTCCCTAGATCTTCTACGTTGCTTTTTGATTCCCTTAATCCTACCTATTAACATTTGTCTCACCTCTGGATGGTACTTTCATGAAAAATACAGCCTATTATAATTTGTCAATTAAAAATAATATCAATATAATTTTATTCAATTCCCCCAGATAATACTTCTTGAATAAAGGAAAAAAGAACCTGTGGGAAATCTTATAGTAGAAGCCTAGATTTCAATTCTCTCATAAACGGGAAGTGCTGGGGGTATTACAAACTCCTGACGAAGCTAAACACCTTTTCTTGCCTAAATGGGTCCTGAGCTTAGGCAGTTTAGAGAATTGACTAGGCCTGTTAGACTATAGTATCTTTTTTACCTGCTAATATCAGGCATTGGGCAAAGGGAGGGAGGTGTACTTTAGGGCAAAGATGATAGAAAAAGGAATGTATTCAGAGTGTCTCAAAAATCCCAGCTGAGGGTGCCATGCATTTCTTGCTAGGATCTTGCTGCAATTTAACATAGGATTCTTTTAAAATCATATTTCATTATTAATCACTTATGCTTAAAGATACATATATTTTCAATCAAAAATCCCAAATCTTTAATGTAGTACAACCCTGCACTGTGAATTAAAGATGGTATTTAGGCCGGGTGCAGTGGCTCATGCCTGTTATCCCAGCACTTTGGGAGGCCAAGGTGGGTGGATCATGAGGTCAAGACATCGAGACCATCCTGGCCAATAGGGTGAAACCATGCCTCTACTAAAACTACAAAAAAAGTTAGCTGGGCATGGTGGGGCGTGCCTGTAGTTCCAGCCACTTGGGAGGCTGAGGCAGGATAATCACTTGAACGCAGGAGGCAGAGGCTGCAGTGAGCCGAGATTGCACCCCTGCATCACTGCACACTCCAGCCTGGCGACAGAGCGAGACTCCATCTCCTCCCCCAACCCCCACCACCCAAAAAAAAAAGATGGTGTTTAGCACTCTGACCAATCTTGGTTCAATTTAGCTTCACTGTTGCTGTTTCTATCTCTTCATATTTTTATTTCTTTTTTTATGGAAAAAATGTGGTTTTGTTTCAACCACAATTACAAGTATCCAGAAGGGCCAAAAAAAAAAAAAAAAGATGGGGAAAAGGGAAAGTGGAACTTATTACATTTTATTAATTCTATATCTTAGAATTAGTGCTCATGATAATATTCATGACCTCACTAGCAACTCATTGCAGCCCCAAAATCTCATCTTTAAAGTCATATTGAACCATCTAACAGTAATTCATAGGTTCATCTTGGGAGGCAGACTCTTTGTTTAGGCAGTAGTATATAAGTCCCTGCTACGTTGAAATTGCATGGTAGGTAGTTTACTTCAAATGCCTCAGCTAACGTGCACTTTCTCCCCAAGTTATTCTACCTTTCAGGGCCCAGTTCAAGTTCTATCTCTTACTTGAAGATTTCCCAAATGCTTCTGTCTATACCAATTTTTCTCCTCTTTGAGCTGTCAGTGAATAATTGACTACATTGTTGATATGCTAGATCTCATTTTCTGTTTTTTTCCCAAATAAAAAAATCAATGAGTGTTTATTGAGCAAAAAATAATAGAATAAATTATTTCTGCTCTTAAAAAGCTATGGTCTCCCTGGAAAGGGGAGGTTTAAAACATTTTCAAGAAAAAGCAAGTCACGTCGTAATGTAGGATATGACTGATTGCCAAATGAAGGATCCAGACAAACACTAACTAGACAGACCTGTTTGGATGATGAAGGGCAGAGAGCAGTTGAGACTGGATAAGAAGAGACGTTTTACAAAGGAGACAGAATTTGAGTTTGATCTTAAAACGTGGATAAAATATAGACGGAGAACACGAGAAGACTACCCTAAGTTTGAAAGTGTATGTTTCTTCATATGTTCAATATTCATTTGGCAATGTCTCTAGGTTCCTCACCAAGACTACAGAGACCTTTATTTCTTCTCTTCTAAAGGCAGTAACAAAGTGTTTAATAATATAGATGTATACATATTAGGTATCAATAATTTTGTTTCCCCCTTTTATCCTCTAATCTTACTACGTATCTGACAACTTACTAGGCCCATAATGTCCAATGCAAAAGTTATTTCACTAACAGAAATTATATGATTCATAATTTCATTTCTAAAATTGGTTTGTTAAAGTTGAAATGTTTTATTAAACTGTGATATAAATAAATGTACTGGCTAGAACACTACCACCCCCAGAAAACTTCTCCTCTGGTATTTTCTATTAATTACTAGGAGGATAATTCTTTATCTCTACTGAATGTAATGAATATACCAACATCACATATGGAGGCATGACTCCTTATGTGTATAAAAGTTTTTTTTAAAAGTCTTTGTCCACCTTCTCACTTCTCTGTTTTACAGTTCTTGAAATAATAGAAAGTATCTTTTCTTTGGGTCCTGAATTAATATAACCTAGAAACCATAAAGTGTCTTCTTTATCATTTTCAGTTTTCTTGTCTACTGAAATATAGAAAACTTCTTAAAGACATAAAAGTTGTGCTTTCTCTCTCTTCCCCTCCTTTCTGTCTTACCAGTAAAGGGCAAGAGAAAGATGATCTTTTCTCTAAAAACATCTCTCTTTAGATACCTCAACTACTGAAATACTTTTCTGTTTTCTCCTGCCCTTACTGTCTTTAGGCCAACTCCAAAATCTCATAATTCTATAATAATTAAAGAAAAGTCTGAGCAATTGCATCATAGTTTTTGTGCTGATGAGTACTCAGCTTATAGGCCTGTCTGACTCCCTGCTGAAGAGACAGGGACATCTGTGTTTTTTCTTTTTCAGTTAATTTCTCACGTAACAACTGGGATAGGCATAAGAAAAAAGAAGTAGGGATTCACCACATGGTTGATCTGATAGCTTTTCCCGGAGTTCTTATTATGAGAAAACAGAGGAGGATGATATTCAGGTTAGGCAGAGGAGCTGGCCTGAACACATGGGCCACGTTTAGGTTGAAGAGAGAAGTCTCATCCTTTTGTGTGTTGGCCTGAAGTTGGGCAGTGGTATATTTTACAGTTCTTATGAGTATGACTTCCTCTCCCTGATTATGAAAGGACCAGCTGAGCCTGAAATTTCCCTGCAGCTACTAACCTGGATTGTTTTTCCTCTAACTTCCTCTATGATTTATCATTTGAATATTTTTCCATACTTTACTTTTGCCATCCTTCTATTTCCATATGCATACTCTTACCTGTCCTAAAGTCTAGAAAAATTACCTACGAGATATAGATGAAGTTTAATTGTTGAACAAAAATGTAGATTAATGTAAAAACCTATCTCTCAGGAGTCAAAAGACTTCATTTCAATTTCAGATTTACCACGAACTGAAAATCTTGGCAGAGTCACTAACCTTTACATTTATGAGTTGCAGTTAAAAATACTTGTCCTACTTCTTGAGGTTGTTTTGCGGTTGGATTGAAGAACATGTATATTTCAATACTTAGAAATGTTTATAAAACACAAGCAGGTGTTAATTACTGTAGACACATACCCCAAATATCCTTTCTTAAAGGTAACAAATTACATAATATTTAAAAGTTCTTAACCTTTCTATTTTGTATCACAGAAAAGGTCACAGCTGAGGAAATAAATGATGGGTACTTGCAGAAGTACAACAGGAAGATGCTAAGTTTCTCTATGATTTACAAAACTTGTCTGTTATTCTTTTAGTTTCATCCTTTTAACCAAAAGATTTAAATCTTTCAACGTATACATTTTTGAGGGCCAAATGAAAAATAAAAGACACGTTACCTGACATTGAGGGTTTTACATGTTGACAAGATGATGTGCTTACAAAAAAACAGAGCTCTAGGATGGAATGTATTTCCAAACCATGTGCAACAGAACACTCGTATGCCACAAAATTTGGTTGATCCTATCAATATTCTTTATTCTAAAATCAATATATTCCTGTTTCTAAAAATAAGTAAGGAGCTTCTATTTCAAGTTGTGGCTAGAGCCCACCTCCCTCATAAGACCCCAATACAATGAGAGCATATAAATAATTCTATAGGAACAAACATAATAGAGAAGGCACTACAAAAGGAAAATATATTTTAATATACCATTTGCAGATAGAAAATATGCAGTCTGTTACCAGATTAAATAAAGTTATTTCCAGAATAAGTGAATCTACCTGCCTGGTAGAATCCCAGAATAGTCTTAATTCAGTGTAAATGGGTGTCATTGAAAGTGGAGGGGAAATGGTATTGGAGTATAGCGGGTGAGGGTATCTATAGCACAGCTAGAGCCATTCCCCACTCCCAAATGCTTTCCTCCCCTCTCCATCCCATCCTTGCATATGGGAAACAAACAGGCCAGCCATGTACACTAGTCAAAAACCTATTGCTCTATGTAATTTGTCTGCTGACATTGGAAGGCATACAATAAATTTGAATTTTTTAGAAAAGGCAGCCATGAGAATCTCAAAAAGAATAATATTCAGAAAAAGAGATCATGATATTACAGTGTGGAAATAGAAACAGCTCAGATATTTTAGTTTCCAACAATGTAGTTGAGAAATTTGCAATGCGTGTCTATATCTCTTAATAGAGTCTCATGATATTTTCTGAGAAAGAAATATGTGATTCAGTAAAAACAGTGACTTCTTGAAGGTCAAGAAGTCCTTGACCTTCAAGAATGCTAAGCAGAGCATTCTGGGTTAAAATCCATGTGTTAGGGACTCTACACCCATCTTGGCCCCACTACTTACTACCGATGTGCCCTAGAGCAAGTTATTTTTTCTAAGCCTCGTTTCCTTAACTCTAAAAGGAAATAATTATGTTACCTACCTGAGGAAGCTGTTGGAAGATTTAAAGAAAACAATGTACATGAACCATTTGGCACACTAGCTGACACTTAGAAAGGTCTCACATGTTAATAATTAGCAGATATCTATATTGTGTTCTTTATACCAAAATATTGGATCAGAGACAATCTAGCTTACTGTAAGAATAATTTTTCCTTAGAAAACAATATAATATTTTTAGATTTTCCAAAAATGTTTTCCTCTAATGTATCAAAATATAAACTAGAATATTCTGAATGTTAAACTTCCTCTTTGCTTGCTGATTTCATATACACACATACACACATATATATCTGATTCGTTTAAACTGTGTGCGTGGGTGTGTGTAGAGTTAAGCAAACTGGGTAGACAAGTCATACAAACAGAAACAAATAACTATTCAGAGATATTTTTGTACATTGGTCACTGAGGAAACATCTATTTTAATATACTTTCTATGACTCTTCTCCTTCATGGGGACTATAGGATGAAAGTTTTAGAAAACTTGCAAACGTAAGGTACTTATGTTAAAGGAACAATGAAATTATTTGAAGCAAGTTTTTAAGATTAAATATTTCCCAAATACATTTCTTCATTTTTACCACTTATAAGTGGTTTAAAGGTAACAAAAGAAGTTGTATTTCAACTGGTTTCATTCAGACACACACTTTAAAGAACTTATGCTATTATTTAAGGCAGTTTACATATAGTTACCAGCCCCCACATGACAATACTGTAAATGTTTTCGTTCTGGGCATAAAGTTTAGAGTGTAGTCTCAGGGGAAAGGAGATTATTGAAACTGTTAGCAGTATTTAGCAGTATTGTGGGAAAGGTACAGAGAGAATGGCTGGCTCTCTGCTGGGATGGAGATAATATATGGCCAAGAACCCAGAGCCTAAGTGCACACATCCTGTCCTCTCACAGTCATCTCTGAAAGCTACTTAGAGCAATAGGCAGAGCCAAAGGATAGACCAACACAAAGCCTTTTCTCTTTACTGCCAATATGCTCATGTCCCAAACCTTGTGAGTTTCTTGGGTTGAGGATGCTAAGATTTATTTCATGCCCCAAAACCAGGTCTAGGAAAAACCATGTGAAGGAAAGAAACTTGCTGCTTCTTAAGCCCTGAAAGGAACTCACAGAAGCCAGAAGATCCAAGATTTTCTATGGCCATCCTTCTAAATAGGATCAAACACTTTCCTTCTTATCCTCCTCATGTTAGCCAGAAAGGTATAAGTCTAAAAGACAGAGAAACCCTAAATACAGTGATGGTGATGTTTACTCTAACAATGTCATTGAATTTGGTCTTTCCTTGCCTTAATTCTCCGTATTTCCCTTTTCTGGATGTCAGGGGATTGGATAGGGAGCAGAGCCCAATATGAACATGTTTTTCCAAATAGAACAAGATTCGAGAGAGACGTCTGTCTTTATATGACTTCTTTCTTTGTCATTATCTTCTGCGCAAGTCTGGTATATGAACCCAATACAAACATTTGTGTTGGTGAGTGTCTTAGTCTATTTTGGTGGCTATAACAGAATACGAGAGACCAAGTGGCTTATAAAAAACAGAAATATATTTCTCACAGTTCTGATGTCTGGGAAATCCAAGATGAAGGCATTGTGAGGGCCTGCTTCCTGGTTCATATATGGTGACTTTTCCCTGTGTCTTCACATGGTAAAATGGGGAAGACAGCTCTGTGAGATATTCTTTATAAGAGCACAAATCCTATTCATGAGGGGTCCACTCTCATAATCTAATCTCTTCCCCCCACCCCCGCCGCCGCCAAAGTCCCCATCTCTAATAGCATCACATTGAGGGTTAGGGTTTTAACATACAAATTTTGAGGGGGACATAAACATTCAGTCTTTAGCAGTGAGATTTTATATACAGCTGTATAGGTAAACTGTGGTCCTATTGACCAGCTCTTATGTTTCTCGAAACTTTAACATGTACCTTTCAATCCTTTTAATTTCCTTTTATCAAATTCCTGTCATTTAAAAAATTCACATAAAACTGCACTATTTAAAATTGCTTCTTTCAACGCTTAAGAATACCAGCAACAATTAGAAAGCAACATGTATATTTTTGCCTGAAGAATATATTTTATGTCAGAAAATGGCCTTTTTGCATGTATTTTTTCCGTTAGCAAATAAAAAACTCCCGCCTTTTTCCTTAACATCAAATATTGCTCATGATTACTGTTTAATACTGTGTTTCTTCCAGTCTGCACTAAAGCCACACGGTAAAGCCGCTTTTGCATAAACTAGGTCAGTCATATTCGTCTCCAATTAGGGGTCAGGGTTTTTTGAACCATTGCTTTTAACTTCAGATAAAGTGGCAGACAAAATAGTTTCTTGCCCAATGGAAAGCACAGAAGGTAGAATTTGCTACTTCTACTTATTTTCTCTGGGTGGCTAGAGAGAGTTAATTATCAGGCTTAAACAAAATAACCATGATCAAGGAGCTTATTTAGGAACCAGGTTGAGCATCTTGATGATATACTGTTTTTGTTTTTAATTTTAAGGTAATGTTTGTAATAGTTTTTAGGTATAGTTGCACATAGCTTTGCTCATTAAACCAGGTAAAAATTTCAACCATATACAGATATATAAGCCCACAAATTTAGATACATAGTGAGACCAGAGGAGACATGTTCTCCCTGGTGGAAATGATGTAAATAGAAAAATCAGATTGGAATGCTTAAGTGCCTTTGCTCTCCAACTCACCTGTCAAATCAAAAATCAAATCAACAGGCATGGATCAGTTGCTTGCCGTGTCCCATATATTAGCCGGGAGCTCTATATTAGGCAGCCAGGTAATTTTTGTATTGCACGTTGTCTCTGCTTGTTTGATGTACAACATGTACATTGCAACCTTATTAGCTTAGACTCTCCCATACTAATTTTGAACTGAAATAGAAATGACATATAAAATAGATTATAAAGAAAATAAGTAGTTCAGAATTGTTTTAGCATTGTAAAAAGCACTGTTTATAGTTAATGGACCGATTGAATGAGTCTTTCATTCAGCAATTATTTACTTAATAAATGGTAGGCACTACAGTATGTATTATTATTATAGAAGAAAGACAAGGCCCTGTCCTTGTGGAAAAACTAAAATTTGCTTTAGCTAATCAATAAGGTGGTGAGCAGAAAGTTGCCAATCGATGACAGTCATTTTGTAGAATCAGCCTTAACACACCACCACCAACAAAAAAACTATTCTTAAAGTGAAACTTCCAGCCAACTAACATTTTTATTTTGGTTAATTTGAATGGGGGAATCTTGTGTTAATAGTAACTGTTTGGCAGAGAATAGGATCTGCAGTCTTTCTTTTATAGATTGAAAAGTTGATGAACAAAAGTGTTGAGTGACTGATCCCTCAGTTATTGCTGCGTAAAGTTTAACCTCCAGTTAGGAGGACTTCATAAGCAGCCTAATCATGAGGCTTTAAAGTTGTACTGACTGTGATGCACACTAAAAAAAATAAATTTCTGTCACAACCAGGTACCACACATGCATATTATTGGAACAAAATATCCATGAAAAATTCACACTTAGCACATACAATATGATTAAATACCTTCTATCTTTTTCCATTTTATTTTTTAAATAATGTTGGTTGCAACCCAGTACATATATTTCACAACCCACCAGTGAGTATTAATTCAGTGACTAAAAAGGAGATAAATATATTCCCGTACATGGAAAAGTAAATATGGCAGTTTCTATGTGTGTATTTTTATTATGATTTATTAAAATGTTATCATTTTCTTGTAATGTGTGTAAGGTTTCACAAGTGATTGTAAATAATCCTAATTCTTTCCTGTGACAAGTTAAGATATGCAAAATTTGTTCTTCATACTTTGAATTCATTAAGCACCTATTTCAGAGTTTCTCATAATATCTCTTACAAATGATGTTCATGGTATATATTTTTTCACTTCATATTTTCTCAGAATCTAGCACATTGCCTAGTGTTAAAAGGAGTGTGTTGAATAAAGGAATGAAAGAATGAATACATTTTAAGTTTTGCCTTCCATGTTTTGTTGGGTGAACTGCACAGTAAATTTGCCTTTGAAGGAAAATTGAACTGGGCTAAATGGAGAAGAGCCTTCAGAAGGGGAAGCACGAGCAAAGACTTGGAGATAGGAAGAAGGACTTGCCATTCATATATACACGGTGGTGAGGTGGGTCCTAGGACTGACGGTGGATGAAGGAGCAGAACATAGTAAAGATAATATTTGGGGTGGGAGTAAAATATGGTGAGTAAGGTAAATGGGGCAAGGAAGGAGAGAGAAAATGAAAGCTGGATATGTTGCCTATTGTTGAATTCTCAATTCTGATTGTCCCATATTTAACATGCCAGCCTGCCTAGAGGCATTTAGTGGCTATGTGATGAAGCTGCCCCATTCCTATAATGCCGCTATTAAGCCATTCTCATCAGGGCTGGCAGAGCAATATCCATTGATGTAAAAAAGTTTTTAAAAAATATGGTCCTCATGTACTTAGAATCAGTACTTAGAAAGGCATCTTTTAATCATCTTATCAAAAATAGGTCAACACTTTAAGTTTGTATCTTTCATAGCATTTAATCAAAATTTATAGTTATTTTGTTTAATTTCTTCATTGTTTCTTGCCATTCCATTAGATGGTAAGCTCCGTGAGGTCAAAAACTTTTATATTCACTGTAATTAATCCTCAGGAATAAACACAATGCTTAGCACATAGCAGTTGCACAATATTGAAAAAAATGAATAAATGGAATGTGTACACAGATACACATCACAAAAGAAATGGGAGACTAAGCATATATAAGATTGTGTGCAAGCCTTTTGTTTTGAGTTCAACTGGAAAGCAAACATCCCCTTACTGAGCAAACACAACAGAAATTTTGATGTGATTATAGCAAGCCAGAACACAAATTGTCTATTCTAGCATTTGCTGAGTGGCTTACAGGGCTGCCAGCAAATCCATTAGAAACTCAGCTTACCTTCCATAAAGAAGAGGGAAAAATTGCTTAAGGCTGAATTGTTTCTTATAAGATATTATCTGGAAAAGAAATGAATTTTTTCCAATTAATGGTATAGTAATTTTGAAAAATTTTATAAATTCAACATTTGATGTATATGTCCATGCTTTCTATTCCATATTTCTACTTTCAGTAAAGAGCTTTGCTCTGTTTTATGTAAAAGTCTTTATCCCATGAGCATCTTTTGATGAAGTAATCTTCTTGCTATTTAATATAATTAATATTAGAAAATTGCAGATGAAAGCATCATAACAGAGAGGTAAAACACAATGCTTTGGAGTGAAATATATGAGGTTTGAATCCCAGCAGTGTGATTTCATGCAAGTTATTATCCTCTCTGAATTTCAGTTTCTTCTTCTGATGAATGGAAGTAATAAAGCAATACTGTAGCATTCTTACTAGAATGAACAAATAGCATATGTAAAGTCCTGGGCATAAACTATGAAACAAGCCTATAGGAGAAGGTATCGAAACAATCTTAAATTTTAATTTCAGTTTTTAATTAGAAAGCAAGAAATAGCGGGAAAGAGGAGCAGGGAATTAGCATTTTTTTTTTGAATACTTCTAGTAAGAAGCACTTGTTAAAATTCTTTTTTTTTCTTTTTTTTTGAGACTAAGTCTCGCTCTGTTGCCCAGGCTGGAGTGCAGTGGCGCTACCTTGGCTCACCTCCACTTCCTGGGTTCAAGCGATTCTCCTGCCTCGGCCTCCCAAGTAGCTGGGGCTATAGGCGTGTGCTACCACATCCAGCTAATTTTTTGTATTTTTTTTTTTCAGTAGAGATGGGGTTTCGCCATGTTAGCCAGGATGGTCTCAATTTCCTGACCTCGTGATCTGCCCACCTCGGCCTCCCAAAGTGCTGTGATTACAGGCGTGAGCCACCGGGCCTGGCCAAAATCACTTCATTTAATTAGTCAAATCGTACCTTTCTCCCATTTTCTGTTTTTCTTTACTTCCGGAATTCCTGTTTGACTGATACCTCTCCTCATTCTATCTTCTATGTCTCTCAACTTCCACATCTATTAATATTTCTTTAAATGTTTTAAAATCTCTATATCTTATAAGTTCTAATTTGTTTTTCTTTTTGATCTAGCTTTGGTTCAAAAATGGACTCTATTATTAATCTGCTGCTTAATTTCTTTAATGACTTTTAAACCTTATTTATTTCTCCAAGTTTCCTTTAATTTTCAAATTTGTCTTAACATTTAGACTCCTTCTTTAGAGCAGCAAATCATTTAAAATATATTTATTTTAAAATCAGTTGCTCTCTCATTCAAACATATTAGCATGTTAATTCTCCTCTTTTATGTTTTCTTCTTTTTTGATCAGCTGCTTCTCTTTGTACCTTGTAATGTTTGAGTTCATGTTTATTTTTACCCAGACTTTTTTTCTGATGGAATCTCATGTGGCTTGGAATGTGAGACTGGCCTCTCGTGTATTTGTGTTTATATTTTCTATATTTGTTTCTTGGTTTTGCATTTTGACACCAAGAGGTTGGTACAAATTGAAGTGTTCAATTTTCCCAAGGTGTGATCTATTTTAAAAAAATTATTATTAGAGACTTTAAACAAAATCTAGATTCAAAGAAGCTAAAAATACCTTGTTGCAGACTTTTCCTAATCGGTGGATCCCTTAGACCCTGAAAGTGCTACTTGCAAAGGATAAACAAAGCCAAAGCCTTATCCCCTATCCTTAAAACCTCATCTTCTATCATTGCAAGGGCATTAATACATTTGTGCTAGCCATAACCATGTTCCAGAATAAGTAAGACCTCCCCCACCACATACTTAAATGGGATATATGCAGCCTCTCTCCCTCTCTCTCTGTCTCTCTCCGTCTCTCTCTCTCTCTCTCTCTCTCTCTCTCTATATATATATATATATATATATATATATATATACATACACATAACCTATTTTGTATAAGTCACTAAATTTTTCTATTACTTTCCTCTATGATGAACCCCCCAATGAATGTAATGGTAGTATAAGGGCTTTCAGATACCTAAAATTTAAAAATCTTTTGAGATTGACTCAGAAATTTAGGGATCATTTTTTTTTGATTATTATAATTTGTGCTAATGTCAAGAACCATATCATCAATAAGCAAAATGACCTGGCATGTAATTATTCTTAAATAGACTTTTATTTTTCAAGAAGTATAGGAAATTTGGGATCAAAAAGTTACCTCAAAAAGAACAACTGGGCAGTGTTTCTGAGTAACCAGTATATATTTTTTAATTTGGCCCATTTTTTTTTGCAGTCTCTCATCAGTACTCGAATTATGGATTATAGAATCTGAATCCCAAATGATTAATCAAAATTAAAGCGGCAATCTTTATCTTTAATATTGTCCTGCCAAATACCTTTTCTTTTTAAAGGAATCTTAAATGTAAGAACATGTTAACAGATATGAGGGGAATTTCTGTTTTATTTTATAATTTCAATTTTTATTTTAGATTGAGGGAGTACATGGGCAGCTTTGTTACATGTATATATTGCATGATGCTGAGGTTTGGGGTAAGTTTGAGCCCACCACCCCAGTACTTAGGGTAGTACCCGATAGTTACTCAACCTCCTCTCTCTCCCCCATCTAGTTTTCTGCAGTGTCTATCGTTGCCATCTTTATGTCCATGAATACACAATGTTTGGTTTCCACTTACAATAAGTGAGAATATGCAGTATTTGTTTTTCTATTCCTGTGTTAATTAACTGAGGCTAATGGTCTCAGCAACGATGTTGCTGCAAAGGACATAATATCAATCTTTTATTGTGACTATGTAGTGTTCCATAGTGTATATGTACCACATTTTCTTTATCCAATCCACTGTTTGTTTTATTTTGTTTGAGACAGAGTCTCACTCTGTCGCCCAGGCTAGAGTGCAGTGGCGTAATCTCAGCTCACTGCAACCTCTGCCTCCCCGGGTTCAAATGATTCCTGTGCCTCAGCCTCCCAAGGAGCTGGGATTACAGGCACGTGCCATCATGCCTGACTAATTTTTGTATTTTTAATAGAGACGGGGGTTTCACCATGTTGGCCAGGCTGGTCTCGAACTCCTGACCTCAGGTGATCCACCCACCTCAGCCTCCCAAAGTGTGGGAATATAAGGGTGAGCCACCGTGCCCAGCCTCCAGTCCACTGTTGATGGGCTCCTGGGCTGATTCCAAGTCTTTGCTACTGTGCATAGTGCTATGATAAACATATAAGCATGTGTCTTTTTGGTAGAATGATTTATTTTCTTTTGAATATATACCTAGTAATGGGATTGTGGGGTTGAATGGTAGTTCTAAGTTCTTTAAGAAATCACCACAGTGGCTGAACTAACTTACATTTCTACCAATAGTGTATTAAGAATTCGGGGAGTGGGAAGGAATTTTGATATATCTGTACCTAAAAGAATAAAAGCTATTGCCCACAGAACACAGATATTAACGATAAACGACACCTTAACAAACAAGAAATCTCAGGCTTTTAGTTAAACTACTGTTAATTTCTGAAGAGGGAAAAATTAGGATTCTTTATGTTATTTGCTTATATTTATTTATAATTTGCAAAGATGAATTCTTTGTTTGTATAAGAAAGACTTGTGTCATAATTAAAGTCATCAAGCAACTTACAGGTTTCTATATTTCCCTAAATGTTACTCAACACTGAGGAATTTAGCATAACTGATACATTTCAAATGCTAATGATCACAATCAATATAGAAACTCTAGCCTAAAAGAACATTTAACTAAAGAAAAGCAAATTTATAAATGAAAAGCAGATGTTAACAGGAGTTTGAACTTTACTCTTACACATTGAGTTGAGCAGAGAAAGTGTGGTCTGCAGACAGTGAATGAGGAAAATAAAACCAAAAATTCCTCCCATATCTACATCCACAATCATATTAAAAATTTCCAGAGCTTTGATATCAAAATTAAAATTTCACCATTAAAATAATAAAAATAATGAGCAATAGTAATGCTGTTATGAATAGGTAATTACTAATATTAACATGCTATCAAAGCTGATGTGAATATAATTAGTATAGACATTTTGGAGAATACTTGGCAGTACTTAGTGAAACTAATTATGTGTATTCCCTAGAACCCTGAAATTCTGCTCCTAGGTATTCACACTTCAGAGAAACTGTCACGTAGAAGCACAAAGAAACATACAGAACACTTATTGCTAAGATTGGAAGCCAACATATTAGTCATTCCAGGGAAGAAAATATGTAAAATGTGGCAGATACCTAAGATAGAATACTATACAGAAGTGAGAACAAACTTAACTAGATATACTTATGCAATATGGGTGAGGTCTTCAAAACATTGTTACATGCATTTTATTTCATGCATGTAACATGAAATAAACATGAGGTGGGAGTCAGGTTCAGAGTCCTCCAGGTAAGAGCTGTCCTGATCTCATCACAGAGAAAACTCAGCAGAAGTTTGTGGAGTAATGGCGAAGCTGGCCTTCCCCGCAGCCCACTCTCCCCTCCCCGCTATCCCTCCCTCCCTCTCCCTTCTTTCCCCCTTCCCCACTTCCCCCTTCCCTCCTTTCCACCCTTCCCTCCTTTCCACCCTTCCCTCCTTCCCCTCTTCCCCCCTTCCCTCCCTCCCTCTCTCCCTTCCCCCTCCCTCCCTCCCTCCCTCCCTCCTTCCTTCCTTCCTTCCTTCCTTCCTTCCTTCCTTCCTTCTTTCCTTCCTTCCTTCTTCTTTCTCTGTCAGTCAGGCTAGAGTACAGTAGGCCCATCAGGGCTCATTACACCCTTAACAGGCTCAAGCAATCCTCTCACCTCAGCTTTCCCTGTAGCTTGTATTACAGGCAGGTACCACCACACCTGGCTGGTTTGTTTGTAGAGATGGAGTCTCACTATGTTGCCCAGGCTGGTCTTGAACTCTTGGGCTCAAGTGATCCTCCCTCCTTGGCCTTCCAAAGTGCTGGGATTGCAAGCATAAGCCACTGCACCTGGCCAGTATGTACTTATCTTAACTTTTCTGTGTTCTACATGTAATGAAAAATGCATGTATTACTATAGTCATGCAGAGGGAGGAGTATGGGGAAGAGCATACCTGAACCACTCTCTTTAAGGGACAGCAAGATTTAATTAAAGACCAAATCTGTTATGAGGCCAAATATATTTTATGCCCAAAAAGAAGGAACAACACAAAGGTCTTCCTAAATTTTGAGAAGTATTATCTTTTACCTCAAAAAAAATAACCAAATGAAAATCTGTATACTTAACAGTGTATCTAAGTAAAAGTTTGCAGATACACTGCTTTGTAGTGAGCACTCAATCCCTGGAGGATATCAAGATAAAATGATTGGAGATGCTTTAAGCCCATGAGTGCTTCTCCAAAATTAACTGAAAATCCTAGTTGTTCAAAGTATTTTTATTCTTCAGTTTTTGGGTTCTTAGTTCTTTAGCTTTTAATGATTTTTGGCGAGAACAATATTTTTCCACCTGGGATCAGAACTTTTGACTGGGATGCTTAATTTAAATTTCTAGCACTAAAATTAAAAGCCAGAATAATACCAGGGTAAGGTCTTAGGATAAGGTTTTACTAGTCAGAGAATCTCAAAATCATTGTCTTCTTTGAAGAGAAAAAACGACAGTAAAGAAGGAAGGCATAGGTAAAATATGAATGAAAAGCTTCTAGGGTGTTTTGGAAATTTCAGTGACTTTCACTCTAATTTTGAGGCCAAATTACTTCAACTAGTTTCCTTAGAAATTGTCAGCATCTTAGAGAACCAAAGGAAAATAGAGAAAACATGTTGAACACATGTCTCGCTCCTTTGGCTGAACTAAAATTAGAAACATAACAGAAGAATAAAGTTTTTCCTTAATTTGGAACTTGGAAAGCATTCAGTATGCTGTATGGTCATGGTCATTTCATTTAGAAGAACACTTCTGTTTAGGATATATATTTTTAAATTTAATGAGATGAAGTAATATTGTTATGGGAATACAGTTACGTGAAAGATACACTAAGGGAGAGGACTGTCTTTGAAATCATCTCTTCTATGCCGCATCATCCTGGCAAGACAACAGCTCTGTCCTGCATAACTCACTGAGTTCTCTCCACATCAGAGTGCTTAAAACCAGTCACCCATTTTAGTAGCATGCAATTAAACTGATGATCCACCTGCCTCCAAGATATAATCAGGAGTAACCCATCATATGCCTGTCTGTTTAACCCCCTCAACCCTGAAAGGCACAATTCATGGGTCGTCTTTCCTTACCTGCACTCCATATAGCTTTGTACAGCCTCTGCTCTGACTCAGTCTTACATCCAAACATGACATTCTAATTTTTTTCTGCATAACTCACGGTCCATAATCAATAAAGCCCTTTGTATCCTCAACCTCTTCTCTTAAGGCTCTAAATAAAATCCAGCTCTCTTTTGAGGCCTCTGCTTGCCTTGCAGAATTCTCAAATGGTGGTTGTATTTTCTCTCTCACCTCATGTGGCACTGGACTTAGAGATTGAGTAGATACAGTTCTGGCTCTTCACTGCTACTTCAAGACAATTTCTCCTACTTTTTTCATATGCCAGCTCCATTGAAATGCCTATGATTAAACAAAACCCCATTAACCTTCCTTGCTGCAGTCATCTGCTCTCCTGTTGGTAATTGCTCCCACTCCCTCCACTGAAGGTTTTAGTACCTGCTTAATCCTCTTTCACCACCACTCCTGTCATTATAACTGATGACTTCAATATCCACAAAACGATCCTTCCCGTATTCTGGGTCTCCTCACCTCCAATTATCTTGTCTTCTAATGACATCAGCTAACCCATTTCTATGATTAGACCAAAGCTATTGCCATTTGCAATAACAGCATTCGTTTTATAATCTCCATTTTCAGTGTTCCACAGGCAGACTCCCCTTTTATGGTGCCTCCCTTTATTTTTGTTGTTCCACCAGGCCCTCAAATCCATTGACACACCACATTAGCGCTCTGCATGACTCATTTCCTCACATTCTTCCTTATCAGTCTTTGCTTCAATAGACCGATCACAGATCTCTCTCTCATCTTTGTTTTCCTTTTCTCCCTTCAGTCACACCAACTTGACAAGACCGCCACGTCGACTGACCCACCTTCTTAGTACCTACAATATAACTGGAGAAAAATATCCAGGTTGACTGAACTCACTTAATTTTTTTATTTTTATTTTTATTTTTTTAGTAACAGAGTCTCTGTCATCCAGACTAGAGTGAAGTGACGTGATCATAGCTCACTGTAGCCCTGAACTCCTGGGCTTGAACAGTGCTTCCACCTTAGTAGTCTCCTGTGTAGCTAGGACCACATGTGTGCACCATGACATCCAACTGATTGTCTATTTTAAAAATTTTTTGTAAAGACAGGGTCTCACTATGTTGTTGTCCAGGCTGGTCTCGAACTCCTGGCCTCAAGCAATTCTCCCATCTCAGCCTCTGAAAGTGCTGGGATTACAGGCATGAGCGACCACTCTTAGCCGAACTCAGTTTAAAATTATGACCACAAACCTTTGGTTGGCTCCTGGGTTATCTGGAAATCCTCTCATATTTCCCAAGTCAAATCACTCTCTCATTTTCTGAGACAACTATTTTATATCTTCTCATTTCCGAAACTTTTAACAGCCTTCCTCTATTCTTAGCTAATAACCTTGCTCCGTATTTTACTGTTGAAAGAGATACAATAAGAAGGTAATGTGTATATAGTTCTAGCATTAAAACTACCTACTTTCATCTAAACTCATATACCTTGTCTTACTCCAACTGGAACAGACGACTCTCCACGCTTCTATTTAAGGTCCGTCTCTCCATATATGCAGTAAATGACATTTCCTCTGACTCACTTATGAATATTGCTCCTACACTTGATCCTTTTCCATCTTTGAGAATTGATTTCCTCCCCCCTGCTTAATTTTTTGATTCTCTGTGTAAAAATTCTGCAATGTCTTTTTTTTGTAATTCAACTTTTATTTTAGATTCATGGGGTACATGTACAGGTTTGTTACATGGGTATATTGTGTGATGCTGAGTTTTGGGGTACAGTTCATGCCATCACCCAGGTACTGAGCATAGTACTCAATGGTTAGTTTTTCAGCCCTTCTTTCCCTCTTTCCCTCTCTCCCCTCTTTAGTAGTCCCCAGTGTCTATTGTTGCCATCTTTATGGCTATGAGTGTCCAATGTTTAGCTCCCAATTATAAGTGAGAACATGTGGTATTTGTTTTTCTGTTCCTGTGTTAATTCGCTTGCAATGTCTTCTATTTTAAAAAATTATCTTATCCCGACATCTTTATCCAGATACCACCCCACTTTTCTGCCCTCCTTTAGAGAAAATGTCCTAAAATATTGTCTATATTCACTGTCTCTATTTTTCTTTCTCTCTTTTGACTCTGCTCCAATCAGGATTTGTTTCCATAAATTCATCAGATCTTCTGTCGTTATTGTCACCAAGTAAACTTCACCTTGCTGAGTCCATTGGCTTATCTTTCTCCTATTTTATTTGATAATAGCAAAATCCATACTTCTTCTGGAAGTATTTTCTTCATTTAGCCTCCAGGACAATATTCCCTTTTTTTCTTTCTCCTATACTCTGGTTGTTCTTTACCATCTCTTTTGGTGAATCACTCTCATCTTCACAGCCTCTCAATATCACAGATCTTCAATGCTCAATTCTCAGATTTTATCTCTTTTCTATCTACTATGACCCTGTGTACTCATCTAATTCAATTGCTTTAAGTACCGTCTTCAGCCCTGATCTTTCTCATGAAATTCAGACTCATATTCAATCTCTGCACTTGGATGTATAAAAGACATCTCAGATTCAATCCACCAAAAGTGAAATCTTGATTTTCACTCTGCTTTTTTCAGTCATCTCCATTTCAGTAAATGGATATTGCATTCACATAGTAGCTTAAGGAAAAAAAACATAGAATCATCCTTGATTCCTTTCCTTCTCTCAAAATCCCCTCTCAATTTCAATCCAATTTAGTGACAAAATGTGTGTGTTCTCTCTTTAAAATCAACCAGGATCTAATTACTTTTCATATCTTCCTTGATACAAATATACTATTATCTCAATTGAACTATTACCACAGCTTACTAACTGGTCTTCATCCATTTGCTTTTATCTCCCTACAATCTATTCTCTCTAAAGAAGCCAGTGTTTCTTTAAAAAATGCAATTCCAATAGAATAACTTCCTAAGCTCAAAATTTTCCAAAACCTTCCCCAGCTCACTCAGAATAAAATGCAACTTGTTAACTTAGGGCCATATGTGATTTATTTATCCAAACTCCACTTTCTCCTCTCATACCTTATAGCTAGCATTCTCCCATGAGCTCACTGTACCAGCCATACTAGCTTGCTTCAACCATTCCTCAAACAAGGTATGTTCCTGTCTCAGGCCTTTGCATTTACTAGGAACAGTTCTCTGACTCTGTGAGTTTTCCCTTATCCGTATAACTTACTATCTCATTTTATTTTGGTCTCTGTTCTCAAATTACCTCTTCTGTGAGGTCTTTTCTGACCACCTTATATAAAAGAAGACCACCGTTATTCCATCTATCATTTTATCTTGCTTTTATTTTATAGCATTCAAATTCACTGGCTTTTATTTATTTTTATCACTGGTCTCCTCCAATTAAAATGTAAGATTCATAAGGGTAAGAACTTGGTCTTTTTTATTCACTGTCATTGCTTATTATCTAGAAAAATACCAGGTATGTAGAAAAGAGCTCAATAAATATTATTGCATGCATTGCATGTATGAGTGAATAAATCCAGGAGTATCATTTGGCAGCATGCAAAATAAACAGCAATTGTTGTTTAATAAAAAATATTTCTACAATTCTAATGGTGAGAGTAAATAACACTGATATCGAAATCTTATTTCAGTAAGTTTTCTTTAAAATGAAAGTAAACCATAGTCTTGGACCTCTAAGCATAGAAAATGAGACATTGAGCGGCTGTTTAGAGGAAGAAGGGACATTGTAGTCCTAAGTTAGAAAATTTCAGAAAGTCTGTTTGAAAGTGGCACTGATAATATACATTTGAAGAAGCCATAGATTTGTTCTATAAAATCTTTAGAATATATAGAGAGATTACAATAATTGTTGAAGGGAGTAAATATTAGAGATATCTATATTGAGATTTTTAATCTGTATGAGTCATGACATGAAGTTATAGTGCTTAAGAGAATTTCTTTTTATTTTTTATTATACTTTAAGTTTTAGGGTACATGTGCACTACGTGCAGGTTTGTTACATATGTATACATGTGCCCTGTGGTGTGCTGAACCCATTAACTCGTCATTTACATTAGGTATATCTCCTAATGCTATCCCTCCCCCGACCCCACCCCGCAACAGGCCCCGGGGTGTTATGTTCCCCTTATGAAGGGAATTCCTTTACGAATACTTATCTCCTCGTAATTCTAAATATTCTGTTACCTTGGACTAAAACTCAAACCTCCATTCTTATCCAACAAACTTTCACTATAACTCAATGTATTTATTCCCAGAGATTATGACACAAAGAATGTCGTTAGCGAAAACTATACCACTCCTCTCATGATTCAGTTTCAAACCCTCCACTCTTACACTGCCCTATTCAGTCCATTGATGTTACATCATTTGTCAATCATGCCATTGCTTTACATTCTTCCTTACCTATTTTAGCTGTAACAGTCTCATTATCAAAACTTCCCTCCATACCCGTCTCCCTCTCTCCTGTCCCTCTTTATTTTCAGTTCTTGTCTTTTGGAAAAACACCAGCACTAGTAAAGGCAACAGTCCATTTTTTCATTGACTACATTTGGGAAGCTGAATTTAATGGAAACATACATGTACACATTATGCTGGCAGATGTTACTTTACATTTACAATGACCAACATCAAGTGGACCTTTGGAAATGCCTTTGCTGGTCTTCTTGGCTGTATTTTTTTTGTTATCTCATTCATCTTTGCTCTTTATTTTCTCCCTTCTGTATCTTTTAGGTTTTATTTGTTTTCCTTTTCCATGTTCTTGTGATGGCTTTTTCAATCATGGATTTTTGCATTTGTAAACTTTTAATATATGCTTTTAAGGCTATAACCTACGCCTCTTTAGGGGAGTTTAACTGTATCTCACAGGTTTTTATATGCCATATTTTCATGGTCATACTCAAACTATTTTATAATTTCCATTGTGATTATTTCTTTGATCTATTTTTAAAAAGGTCACATATTCCAAACATTGGGAGGAGATGTTTTCTAGTTATTTTTATTAGTTTCTAAGTTAACTCCCCTTTGTTGTACATGATTTAAAGCCTTTAACATTTTCCGAGACTTTAAGGCTGATCACATGAAACATTTTTTTAATATGCTGCAGGTCTGTTTGAAATGACTTTGTACTTTGAAGTTATTTGGTATTTGTTAAATGGATTGTTTAGGTCTTCTGTAACTTTATCTGTTCTATCAGTTACTGAAAGAGATGTGTTAAAACCTCTATGATTTGTGTATTTCCTCTGAAGTTATATCTAATTTACTTAATATATTCTGAGATTATGGGATTGAAGCATACAAATTTAAAATTGTTATATTTTCTAGTAGACTAAAACTTTTATCATTATGAAATATTCTTAATTTTTTCTGGTAGTTCTCCTTGCATTAAATTCTACTTTATCTAATATTAATATGGCTATATATCTTATACTACCTTCCCTTCCTTTAGAATTTGCCTGAGATATGTTTTTTCCCAACTTTCTGCTTTCGACTACCTTGTGTTCTGAGTAAAGATGCATTTCTTGTAGTTTCTATAACAGATGCTGTAAAGGTTCCATCCATGTTCCTTTGGACAATATGACCATTCCTGTGCATTTCTGCTTATCTTCCAATAGCCAGCATTGCGTCATTTTGGAGAGCTGGCCACAGCCTGAGGGAGCAAGGAAAAGATGTTCACGCTATGCTATTCAACATTGGCCTGTGGAATTCTAAACAGTGCAATAAAGCCAGAAAAGTACAGAAAAAGCATGCAGATTGGAATAGAAGAAATAAAACTGTTCTTATTCACATATGGCATGACTTTCTACATATAAAATCTCAAGAAATCTATAAAAATATTTCTAGAACTAATAAGTGGGCTTAGTATGGCTGAAGTATGCAAGAACAACCAAAATTACCTGTGTTACCATAGATGAGCAGCTAATTATTGTAAAACAAACCATTTACAATATTTCCAAAAATTAAATAATTGATATAAATATAACAAAGCTTGTATAGGATCTGTATGCTCTAAATTTTTAAAAATTCCAATAAATGAAATCAAAGAAGATCTAAATAAATGTAGAAGCATAGTGTTTATAGATCAGAAGACTCAATATAGTCAATTCTACTCAGAATAATATAAGATTTAATGCAGTTGCAATCAGTATCTAAGATTTTGTTTTTAAATATGAAAAACAGATTTTACAATTTATATGGAAAGACAAAATAGTGAAAACAATACTGAAAAGGAGGAATAAAGTTGGAGGAATCACATCTGGCTTTAAGACTTACTATAAACCTATAATAATTCAAATGATAATGATAAAGCAATGAATACCTAGATTATTGAACAAAGTAAAGGGATCACAGATTGATTTAGAAATATGGTCAACTAATTTTTGACAAAGGCACAAAAGTAGTTCAGTGGAGAGAGAGTCATCTTTTTAACAAGTAGTGTTGAAAAAATTGAATATCCATATGGAAGAAAAAACACTGACCTACATTTTATAGCTTGTACAAAAATTGACTAGAATAGTCATAGATCTAAATTTAAACCATAATATTATTAAACTTTTAGAAGAATATAAAGAAGAAAAATCATTGTGACCTAGGTTAGTCAAGGAGTTCTGAGGCATTACAGCAAAAGCATAATACATAATAGAAATAAAAACCCACAATAAACAGGACCTCATCAAAATTTAAAACTTCTGCTCTCCAAAGTTCCTGAGAAAAGAATAAATATTAAGCTAAGGACTGAGAGAAGATATCTGAATATGACATATCTAATGAAGAAATTGTATTAACATAACTCTCAAAACTCAATTGTTTGATTTGTAAGAAATCAAACAATTCATCTTTAAAAAATCAGTAAAAGACTTCAATCTGTCTACCCAGATTGCAAATAAGGAAACTAAGTTGTGTTCTATATACTAAACAATTAGTATAAACTCATTGCAATGCAGATATAGCCCACTTTGCAAAACTGACTGCCCAAGTTACATTAGTAAATCGGCATTTCAAAGAAATTATAACTATTTGACAAGAAATTTCACTTGAAGTTTTAATATTCAGGCTTTAAAGCAAAATACAGTGCTAAGTTACAGAATTCATAAACGCAATCTTTGGCTTAAAAGTTGAACTTTTGTGTACCTATTACAGTAATGATGAGAACTAAGTAAAGACTGATTAAGCACACAAAAATCAGGGAATAAAATATTCTTGCTTTACTCTTTGTTAAATGTCACTTTCCATAAAAATTGAACAAACTATATTCTGGATTTCATATTTTAGGTTGCATATGCACGTCAGAAATTTTGTATTGTTTTCACAACCAATAGTACTTTAGTAAACATCTTATTTCATCAGTGCTTTTAAGAATAAATAGCAAGATGGTAATTTTTTACTTAGTGCTCATTTGCTTACAACCCTTTTGCATATATGGCTCCATGGTTTCTGATGAGAAATCCAAAGACATTTGAATCATTGTTCCCCTCTAGGTAATATGTTATTTTTCTTTGATTGTCTTCAAGATATATGTCTTTAGCTTGTCTGCAGTTTGATTATAATGTGTTTGTGCATAAATTATTATGAGTTTAGAAGTTTGCTGACCTCTCAATTTAAATTGATAGGTTCATGTCTTTCACCAAATTTGTGAAGTTTTCCTTCACTATTTCCTCAAATATTTTTTTCTATATTGCAGTTTTTATTCATCCCTCCTTAGACTATAATAATATGAATATTTATACTTTGTTATGGTCTCACATGCTCATTTTAGAAATTTTTTTTCCTCTTAGTTCTAAATGAATACTTTTTTTTTTTACAGTGGTGATTCTTTATTTTTATTTTTATTTATTTTGATTTCAGTAGCTTCAGGGGTATAAGTGGTTTTTGGTTACGTGGATAAATTGTATAGTGGTGAAGTCTGGGATTTTAGTGCACCTGTCACCTGAGTAGTGTACATTGTACCCAATAGGTATCTTTTTCCTCCCTCATTCCCCTCCTACCCTTCTCCCTCCTGGGTCTTCGATGACCATTACACCACTCTGAATGCCTTTGTGTACCCATAGCTTTGCTCTTACTTATAACTGAGAACATGAGGTAGTTCGTTGATTCCTGAGTTACTTCACTTAGAATAATGGCCTCTAGTTTCATTCAAGTTGCTGACAAAGACAGTATTCCATTCTTTTTTTATGGCTGAAGAGTATCCATGAATGAATACTTTTTATTGACCTATGTGCAAGTTATCTGGCTCTTACTTTTATTATCTCCAGTTGTCTATTGAACTTGACTACTAAATGATTTTTTTAGTTCTTAAAATTCTATTTGGTTATTCTTAATATCTTCTCTTTGAAATTTTCTTTCTTTGTTTCAAAAGCATTCACTATAAAATATTAAAGCATATCATAGCTGTTTTAAAGTCCTTTATGATACAGTTCTGATATCTGTGTCATCTTGGCATTGACATCTGTCATTGTCTTTTTCTGGTTCTTAGCTTACCAAGTAATTTTAGATGGTCTCCTGAACATTTTGAGTATTATGTTATAAAACACTAGGTCAGCCCAGGCATGGTAGCTCACACTTATTACCTCAGCAATTTGGGAGGCCAAGATGGGAGGATCACTGGAGCCTAGTCTGGGCAATATAGCAAGACCGTATCTCCCCAAAGTTTTAAAAAAATTAGCCAGGCCTGGGGGTCTGTGCCTGCTGTCCTAGTTACTCAGGAGGCTGAGATGGGAGAATTCCTTAAGCCAGGAGTTCAAGGCTGTAGTGAGCTATGATCACATCACTACACTTCAGCCTTGGTGACAGATCAAGACCCTGTCTGAGAAAAGAAAAAATTTGGAGTCTTCTTTAAGTCCTGTGGGAAATTTTACTTTATTATTACTTTTAAATTTTGAGCAGGCCCTTGGTGTGGTTAGATTCAGGCCACAAGTTTTGACTAGACTTCTGTGATTATGGTTTCAACGTCAATTTCATTTTCAAACTTTTTGCAATATTTCGCATATTTGTTCCATGGTTATAATACTCACTGGCCATTTGGGGACCTGAGTGGTAGTCTATTCCATTGTTTACTTCTCAAAGTCTATGGAATGCTGTTAAGATCAGATCCATGTATATGCAGCTTGAGGGTGAGGCTGAAATTTCAAAGACAACTTATGGGGTCACTTTCATGAAAGTTTTCCTCTTTTATCCTTCTTCTGCTTTATGGTTCTGCAATCCTTTCCTTTACTTTGCCCTTGTCAGAAAGCTGGGATTTTATTTGCCCTAGTCTATCATACATTTCACATGATTGTGCCTGCATCTTGCACTATGCGATACAAGGATACACAGAAATAAAAAGCAATGAAGATTTGATTTATCCATTTCAAATCACAGTTTTTCTTATAAGAAAGATTACTCTCTATAAGAAAATTAGGCTCTTGTTGGCTCCTATCTCTGCCATTGTTGGTGCCACCACTGTTGGTGATTGCTTCAGGGCTGAGGTGAGAAAAAACAGAAGAAAAAAGAAAAGAAAAATGGAGAAATTTCATCATCTTTTTATCTCCATCATAGTGTCATATGCACAAAAGGCATTCAATATATGTTTGATGAATAAAATATATTAGTTTATTCATCCAACATGTTGAACAAACATGTTTCGAACATTCATCGAAAGTCATGTACTGTGCCATGCACTGGGATAATTGTCAGGCATAAATGAAAATGAATTTCATTCATTCTTTTCTGACTACTGGGAGATGCTTTTTCTCTATTTGAGCCGGAACTAGAGACCTTTCCCTGGAGCTGCCCTGTTAGTTTTGGATTGTGTTGAGTTGAGATTGTGAAGACTAGGGAAAAAAAAAACAGATAAACTAATCAATAGTTTGGTGGTACTTTCAATTCTAGTCGTCCAAATCTATCAGATATTATTTACTCTCCATTCCTTAAATAGCTACTTCATGCATTCTGTTCAGTTTGCATAGCTGTATTTAGTGAAAGAGACAGGATAGAACGGGCTTACTCTTTCTCACCCAGAAATAAAATACCATGTGAAACACTAAAGTTTTTTAAAGTGTTATCAGTGTTGTGAGTATCTTATTTTTACATCATTAAAATTTTAAAAGGATGGAAATAGAGGAAAGGCATGGAGATTTTTATTTTGGGGTTGATTAGCTTTACCCTGGTACATAAATTCTTTCATGCTGTAAAATTAGCAAAAACATATTGATTATTTGAGGAGCAATCGTACCAACATGTGCCTTCTCTTTAGATTCTTTAGATTTAGCTCTTTAGATTTAGCTCATCAATCTGAGAACATTGCATTCCTTATGTGTTTGGATTTCTATAGAAATAGGTTAGTGATGGTAACAGAAACTCCAAGATGAATGCTAGTTGCAAAGCATCTAAATAACTCTTTATAGCTTAAACCTTCACCCATTTTACCTGTGACAATTAGCCCAGTGCATGGCATAGTACATGACCTATCATGAATGTTCAAAACATGTTTGTTCAACCTGTTGGATGAATAAACCAATGTATTTGATTCATCAAACACGTATTGAATGTCTTTTTTTGCATAAGATACTTTGATGAATGGAGATAAAAAGATGATTAAAGCATGATCCTTGAAATCCAGGGACTGTTAGAGTAGGAAAGATAGAGATGTAAATAACTCTTATTATTATAGGGCAGAATGAAACAAATAAGAAAGACACTGGGGAACTCATCAAAAGAATAAAATCTGAATGGGGGTATAATATTTCTATTGAACCTCATTAAAATAACACATAAAACCTACCTGATTAAAGTCAGCATAATTTCATTGAAAAAAATACTGAATTTGGAGATAGGAGAAAATGAATTTCTTTCCCTAGTTATGCTACTATTTGTCTCTCATCTTGCAGTCCATGAACTGTCTCAATTTCCATCTCCATATCTGAAAAAGAAAGAGCTTATCCATATGGTCACTCATAATACAAAGGTATTTTGTGATGCATAAATGCTCCATCAAGAATTAGTAAATATTGATTTTTTTATATTCATTTCTGATTTTTAAAAAGAATATAAAACATCACAGATAAAGTTAGAGCCTCCAATCATTCCTTCCCATCTTCTTTCCACACAGGGAGTTACTATTTTTAAGTTGGTTTATATATTTCTGGTTTAGCTTTAAATATTTTGACTACATTTTGGTCTGTCTACATTATCGTGTCATATATTTTTATAGTTTACATACCTTTTTGGTTTGTTTTAAACAGGGTCATGCTCTGTCACCCAGGCTGGAGAGCAGTGATGCAATCACAGCTCACTGCAGCCTCAGACTCCCTGGCTCAAATCCTCCCTCCTCAGCGTACCAAGTAGTTGAAACTACAGATGCGCACCCACCATGCCTGGCTACCTTTGTTTGTTTATTTATTTATTCATTCATTCATTTTGTAGAGATAGGGTCTCGCTTTGTTGTCCAGGTTGGTCTCAAACTCCTGGCTTCAAGCGATCCTCCCGCCTTAGCGTCCCACAGTGCTAGGATTACAGGCCTGAGTCACCATGCCTGGCAACATAATTTTTGTTATACTATTAATCTCCTTTAGTAGCTTGCTTTTCGGAGTGATGAAACTTCGTTTTTTCATTTAAATGTATATACTAGAGATGTATTCTTTTGGATACATATAATCTAATTTATCAAATAGTAATACATTATAAGAATATACCATAATGTACATTTCTACCGCCTATGGATTAACATTTAAATTTCCTTACTATTCTTTATTAGAAATCATGCACATATTCTTTACGTTCTTGGTCCCATATAATGAATTCTCTATCACACATCTAGGACTGAAATTGCTGAATACTAGTATATGTATGTCTTCAAGTTTATAGATACCAAAAAACTATTTTTCAAAGTAATTTTACTGTCAATGTTTGAGAATTGTGATTTATCCAAATTCTCAAATTTGTCAAAATTTTACCCTCCATTAATGTGTTTAAACAGTGGAATATATAATTAAATTTTCTGAAATTAAATTCTTCTTACAATCTTGAAATAATCTTTACTGTATGTATGAGACATTGCTAGATTTGAAGAGCTGATATTTTATTTACAAATTTTGTATCTATATTCATCAGTGATATTTATTTCTAATATTATCTTTGTCCAGCACCAAAGTTTCAGTGGTCTCATAAAAAATATTGGGGGTATGCTTATCTTTCTGCTTTCAGATAAGTTTTGAAATTAGAGTTTATCTGTTCCTTGAAGATTTGGAAAAATCCAAAAGAACCATCAAAACCTGTTACTTTCTTCTGAGTAGAACTGAGATGCCTGTTTTTCTGAAGTCATTTGGAAATGCATTTTATTTTCTGAAATTTAGTTTTTCACTTAAATATCCATGTTTACTCGTAGCACGTTATTTGCAAATCTTTGTTATTTTAAACTTTTATCTGCTCTGCATTACTGAATATATTGTAGTTCTTTCAGCCTTTAAAATGTAAATACAATTAATTTCCTATTATTTTTTGTATATTCATCAATATCAAGATAGGTTTGTATATTTTACCTTTCTTTCAAATAACCAGAATTTTATTCTTCTGTTCCTCTATACAACTTATTTTTGCAATTAATATTATCTTTGCTATTTTTCGTCATCCTATATTTTCAAATATACTTTGTTATTTTTCTAACATCTTGACTGTAATGCTCAGGTTATGAATTCTGAGGGTTTTTTCTTTTTAAAATGCACAGATATAAGGCTTTAACGATTTATTTATCAGTTCTTTTAATATGGTATCTAAGAGCTTATAGAACTAAATTTCTGAAGAACTGTTTAGTTGCATCTCACAAATTTGAACTGTATATTTTTCATCACTCAGTTATAAGTACTTTATACATTTGATTATAAAATTTTCTTTGCATCAATAGTTACTTAGAAGTGTATTTTTACTTCTTGTATGTATTCTTTGGAGGAAGATACTTATTATTCATTTCTAATTTTATTGTGTTATCCTCAAAGAATGTGACTATATAAACAAATTTTCTTATATTTCTGAAGAGTTTCTCATATTTGTTCCATGGAAGAGAAGACCAATATGCCATCTAAATTTTGGTTCAGATGTTGAAATAGAGAATACTGCACATGTGCCAAAAGGAAAAGATATTTAATATGTTACTTATGTAATGAGGCCCTGGAGAGAGAAAGGCAGCCACCTGAGCAGGTTAAAAAATATCTCGAGAGAGTAAGGAGGAGCATGGCTTGGGGGTCCTATTGTTTCTTTGTGTAAACACTTCATGAACGGTGAGTTCAATACACACACACACACACACACACACACACACACACAGACACCCTTCTCATGGAGTTCTTTTGGAAGCCCTGTATGGCTAACATGTCTTTAATGGCCAATTGCGCATTGACTTCTGCCAGAACCTCAAAGATATTGAGGTTCTTTTTTTTTTTTTTTTTTTTTGAGACCATGTCTTGCTCTGTCGCCCAGGCTGGAGTGCAGTGGCGCTATCTCGGCTCACTGCAAGCTCCGCCTCCCGGGTTCACGCCATTCTCCTGCCTCAGCCTCCCGAGTAGCTGGGACTACAGGCACCCACCACTGCGCCCAGCTAATTTTTTGTATTTTTAGTAGAGACGGGGTTTCACAGTGTTAGGCAAGATGGCCTCGATCTCCTGACCTCGTGATCCGCCCACCTCGGCCTCCCAAAGTGCTAGGATTACAGGCATGAGCCACCGCGCCCGGCCGAGGTTAATATTCTTGTATAAATATTTAGATTAATTTGCCAACTTGGTATACTGCATCTCTCAGGGCCTCTTATCAATGGGTGAACAAGGTCTAATCTTTTAATTTTTGGTGGTAATATCTTTTTATACCTGAAACATCAAATAGAATAAGAACAATTTGCTGTGTCTGTCAGCCAATGAGTATACATGGTTTACTCACTTTTCCCAAAAGTTGGAGTTCTTCAAGTGCCTAGTTTTTATGCAGAAGGCTTTATACCGGTTCCCTCATGGTCTCAAGGCCATGTATCATGTCCTCCCTTTGTTGATTAAGCTCCAATCACATTTGCTGACTCCTATGTGTGGGTCCTCATAGATCAACTTACATTTTTGGTTGTGATTTCGGTTTTTCTTTCTGAAACCAGCAGTTTTTATTTTAGATTTTGTTAGCGTAAGCACTTTAATATACTTTTTTTTGTTGTTCTTTTCTATCGTGTGTGTGTGTGTATGTATTTGTGTGTGTGTGGTGTGTGTTTATAATATATTATTGTGGGAGAAAGGAACAGGAAAGTGGTACTATCCAGTACAACTAAGGCTAACAGGCTACAAGAAACTTGGATTAACTAACTTCTTAACCATTTATTTATAAGTATTATTAATGTGGTACCAAAGGGTATCACTAAGTGTCTTAGAAGCTTGATGGAAAATTTTCTAACCTTTGAAATGTTTGTCCCGTTAGTTTCATCCTTGTAGGGCAAGATAAAAACAATATATTTCAGCCTTAGGATTTATTACACTGACTTATTTCTAGGTAAAGTGTTGATTTACTACAAGTAGGTTTATATACATTTTTCCCTATTTAAATTATCAGAAAAATGCAATTATGCAATCTTTTATTAGGCTATTGATTACTATAATTATCACAATTTATTTGCAAGTTATAATATACTTTCAAATTACAGACAAGTTCCCACTTGTCCAATATTGTCTAAATATAATAGACCATGATATGGTTTGGATGTATGATCCCTCCAAATGACATGTTGAAATGAGATGCCCAATGTTGGAGGTGGGGCCTAGTGGGAGATGTTTTGTTCATGGGGATGGATTCCTCATTAATGGCTTGATACCATCTGCATGGTAGTGAGTGAGTTCTCACTCTGTGAGTTCATGTGAGATCTGGTTGTTTAGAAGAGTGTGGTACCTCCTCCCTTTCCCTCTTGCACCTGCACTAATCGTGTCATACATCTGCTCTGCTTTTGCCTTTTGCCATGATGGTAAACTTCCTGAGGCCTATACCAGAAACATGCCAGCATCATATTTTCTGTTCAGCCTGCAGAACTGTGAACCAAAATAAACCTATTTATTTATAAACTATCCAGCCTCAAGTATTTATTTATAGCAACACATTGGACTAACACAGACCGCCATGTTGACTAGTGGACAAGCAAATTGGAACTTGTTTTATATGCTTAATAGATTATTGTGGGTCCATTTCTCTTTGTTTTGTGTATAGGGAAAGAAAACAATGAATAAATTGAAGAGCTAGAACTTTAGAACTGTCTTTTTCTATTGTTGGTTCTTCTTTCCATATCTTAAACACTTCTTTAATGAGTCATTTTTTATTCTGATGAATTATTCTCTTCTTAATATTGGGCCTGTACCAGAGAAAATCAGATTAAATTGGATCTGTCTGCCTTGAATACGTTTTAATTTGGGGACCTTTACTTAAAGTGATCTAACCTCACAGAGCTTCTGTTATTCCTTTGTCCCATCCAGTTACCTGGGAGCGCAGGATGGCTGACCCAGGCCCTATGGTAGGACAGAGCCTCAGGATGGTATTAATAGAGCACTTTCCAGGAGCAGACAACACATTGTGGCTATCAACTGCTGGGTAAAACTAATTTGTCTCTCTTCCTCTTTGTCAGAAGGAAGAATTGGTTCTGACTTTGCCTCAGTTAGCACAAGAGTCATTCAGGGAATCAATCAGTATTTAGCAAGTACTACAGTAATTGCTGTGTAAATACAAGCAAAAAGTTTGATACTTAAAAATATCTGCCAGTAATTATAAAACCTAATTAGGACATACCTGTCTTAGATACAGCTTAAATAGCAGAGCGACGTATAAGTAGAACTGAAGGAACACCAGATTCAGATTGTGGAAATCTGGGTCTCCATTCCACTAAGTCAACTGTGTTCTCGTAAGCAAAACTGAAATCTCTCCATGCCTTTGTTTTCTCATTTGAAAAAAAAAAAAAATCTGTACTTTTCTGTTTTTTTGTTTTTGTTTTTGTTTGTTTTTTTGTTTTTGAGACAGAGCTTGCTCTGTTGCCCCAGCTAAAAGTACAGTGTCTCAGTTTCAGCTCACTGCAACCACCACCTCCCGGGCTCAAGCAATTTCCCTTCCTCAGCCTCCAGACTAGCTTGGATTACAAGCATGTGCCACCATGTCCGGATAATTTTTTGTATTTTTAGTAGAGATGGGGTTTGACTATGTTGTCCAGGCTGGACTTGAATTCCTGAGCTCAGGCAATCCACCATCCTCAGCCTCCCAAAGTGCTAGGATTACAGGCATGAGCCACCGTGCATGGCCTGCATTTTTCTAAAAAAGTTTTTAAGTTTTGGAAACAATTTTAAATTAAAAATGGAAACAAAAGCAAAATGACTATGCAGACCAAATAAAACTTGTCAACAGGATGTTTAACCTGGGTGATAATGGTTTGCTGCTTTGCGTTTGTGACTCAGCACTACTAATTCAGATTCTCTCTTGATCTCATGCTTTCAGATTTGAGGCAAATAAGGGTCTACTGAAATAAGAAGGAAGCTTGAGGGCAATATCATGCTTTCATATTTGAGGCAAATAAGGGACTATTGAAATAAGAAGAAAGCTTGAGGGCAATGTAGAACTAGAACTGAGTATTGAAGATTAAGACTCAAGTAGACAGGCAAAGGAAAAATTATGGGGGTAAAGATGGGTATGAGCAAAGATGTGATAGTAGAAAGATACATAAAGCAGGTTATAATTAGATAAGAGCAAAGGATCACTATTGAGGAACTATGGGATACCAGGAAAGAGTACCTGGGGAGAGGATAGTAACCAAGAAAGTGAGCTTTATAATCATATCAATGTACATGTAAATCTGAATTCTGCCTCTTACTAGCTATGGGAACTTAGATATTTTACTTAAGCTCTCTAAACCTTAGTTTCTTCATTTATGAGGATAGTAGTCACACCTGCTTTATATGTTTTCCGTGAGGACAAAATTATATAACATGAAAAGTATACATTACTCATAAATGTTAACCAAAATTAAAATATGTAGAAAGGAAACAGATTGCTGAGGATTTTGACTGAATGGCTGTGGGATAATGACATTGAGACAGAGGAACCTGGACATAAACAGCTAGTAGAAATAATCCAGAAGTTAAGATGGATATACCCAAATGAATTAAATTATTCTATTATAAAGACACATGCACACATATATGTTCATTGCAGCACTATTCACAGTAGCAAAGACATGGAATCAACCTAAATGCCCAACAATGATAGACTGTGTATTAGTCCATCCTCACACTGCTAATAAAGACATACCTGAGACTGGGTAATTTATAAACGAAAGCTGTTTAATTGACTCACAGATCTCCATGGCTGGGAAAGCCTCATGATCATGGCAGAAGGTGAAGCAGGAGCAAGGGCACATCTTACCTGGCAGCAGGCAAGAGAGCATGTGCAGGGAAATTGCCCTTTATAAAACCATCAGATCTCATGAGACTTACTCACTATCATGAGAACAGCATGGGAAAAACCCACCCCCATGATTCAATTACCTCCTACTAGGTCCCTCCCATGACATGTGGAGATTATGGGAGCTACAGTTCAAGATGAGATTTGGTTGGGGACACAGCCAAATCATATCAGACTAGATGAATAAAATGTGGTATATGTATACCATGGAATACTATGCATCCATAAAAAATGAGATCATGTTTTTTTCAAGGACATGGATGGAGCTGGAGGCCATTATCCTTAGCAAACTAACATAGGAACAGAAAACCAAATACCACATGTTCTCACTTAAGTGGGATCTAAATGATGAGAACACATGGACACATAGAGGGGAACAACACACAACGGGGCCTTTCAGAGGTTGAAGGCTGGGAAGAGAGAGGATCAGGAAAAGTAACTAATGGGTACTAGGCTTAATACCTGGGTGCTGAAATAATCTGTACAACAAACCCCCATGACACATGTTTACTTATGTAACCTTCACATATACCCATGAATTTAAAATAAAAGTTGAAAAGATATGGACAGTAGAAACTCTGTTGTTCAACCGGTGTCAACCAACCTCTCTGATCCAGAGGCTTTTATGAAGGGGCATGGTATGGGTTGTGTGTGTGTGCATGCAAGTACCAAGTACGGGTTTGCATGACCAGAGTCAATATAATTCTGATTGATTTTAGATAAAGGCACTATTTATTCCAGTAATGAGTCTCTCTATACTATACTTGCTGGCAAAAAACAAACAAACAAAACAAAACAAAAACTTTGGGACATTGGATTTGACGTGAAGCCAAGTGGGCTTTAATTTGTTAAAATTTTGAAGCAGCAACTGCAGTGTAGATGAGAAACAAAATGCCTCCAGGAGACACAAGAACTATGTTAAATAAATTTTTTATGGCCATTCAGGATACTTATGGACAATTCTATCCTTTCTCTAATTGGTGTGTGCTGAGAAAATACAAACTGAAATACATATTTTCCTAAACAAAAAGGTACCATGGTACCTAAGTCACATACTGAGTTCAATAGATAATTGGAAACTTAGAAATAGCAGCCTTAATTCTCTTTCACTATCAATTTGGCAAATTGCTTTACTCCCTATGCCTTACTTTACACATACGTGACACACTTTGTATATGAGCTAACTGCTTTTCTTAAAAAAATCATTATGAAGATCAAATATCAATTTCCTTATTATAAAATTAAGGGATTGAATTAATGTATTAGCAAAGATATTACAGAGAATGTGACTGATAAACCTCCATCCTGAGTGGGTTAATACAAGACACGTTTTATGTTTTTATCTTGCCGGAGTGACCATCATTCAAACTAAGACATTTTTTCAAGTGAAAGGGAATATATTAATTTGGGAAAATGGGCACAAAGAGCATCCTGAGCAAACCTGGGCACCCTATATCTCCCTACACAGCAATTTAAAGTAGTTGTTACTGGTCAGCTAATTCTTTTTTTTTTTTCTTTTTTTCAAGTAATGAATCAGACAAAAATTTCTCCCAGATTTTGGCTCTGTCACCTACCATATGTGAATTAGGAAACCATTCTAGTGACAATGGTATTCTAGTAAACCTAGTGAATCTAGTAAATCTCTCCAAATATATATATATCCAAAAAAGAAATGAAAAAAAGCCCTAATGATAGCATTGCTGATTTCGCTAGATCAGTACTACCACCATGGTCAATTTCAAGCTATCAACATTTTAACAACTGGCTTACAACATCCCCAAATACTTAATAATAGGCTCTTGTGTGTTGGTGGCATCCATCCCCAGGGTGTCACTGACAGAGTGTCTTCTTCATTCCCATCAGCTGTTAACAGGAAGAAGGCATAGACTGTTAGGCATGGGAGATACTTATGTGGGCCAGGCCAGGAAATAGAACACATAATGCTCACCTGCAATCTACTCATTAGAATTCAGTCACATGCAAGGCCACAAGGAAGCTTGTGACATGTGGTTTAACTGTGTACCCAAGAGGAAATAAAATTGGGTTATATAAACAGCAATTGGATAATTTTTAGTTCTGCCACAACTATTAAAAGATATTTTTCTGCCACAACTAGATAATTTCTAAGATTATTTCTTGATATAATATGCTATAAAAATATAATTATGAACCTGCACTTTTCTGTCCCCTAATAATACAAACACTAAACCACATATGTATTTGGGGTGGAGAAATTGCATGATCATAAGTAATCTAACTTCTATAGTGTAGACTTACTCTATTCTTGTGTAGAAATTTTAGAAATTGTTGTCTTTACGTCTTTGTAGAATAACTGTATATGTATTCCTCATAAAACAACTATTACTAGATTCTATTAAACATTGAAATAGTGTATTGCAATGTGAGAATCAAGGACTATTCAAATTGCACTTTTAGCTTTGATATTTAAATATAGTATTTTCTATTTGAATCACTTGGTGGGAATGATTGAATTGACATTATCTGTATTTTTTAAAAAAGATACATAGGTAGCTCTACTAAAATGGCAATTTGAAGAAATGGAGGAAAATGAGGCCACCACTCATTCAGATAAAGTTCCCATGCATCAGCTTCAAAAGTGAACTTGTTAATTTTGTAGCTAGATCTCTGATGATTTTTTCATGAGATATATGAGAGAGTGCTTAATAAAGTACATAAAAATCCTATTTTCTTCAACTTGAATTTCAATCAATATTGATCATGACATTATTTGAAAGTACTTTGTGTGGGAAAGTATTGAATTGATGGAAGTAAGACAATTGAATATCAAATCTAAGTGTAATAGTACCATTATGTTTTCTACTGAACTCATTTTCAGGACATAATTTTTCTCACATTAACAAATTCATTTTGCATTTTTTTCTGCTAATTGGTTAATTTGGTAGACAATATCAAGATATTAAAATATTAGGTATTTTCAGATTATAAGTTTATCTGAAATTTGTCACTTGCATAGCATCCATGATATGGTTTGGCTTTGTCCCCACCCAAATTTCATCTTGAATTTTTTCTCCCACAATTCCCACATGTCGTGGGAGGGACCTGGTGGGAGGAAATAGAATCATGGGAGTAGATCTTTCTTGTGCTGTTCTTGTGATAGCGAATAAGTCTCATGAGATCTGATGGTTTTAAAAATGTGAGTTTCCCTGTACAAGCTTTCTCTCTTTGCCTGCTGACATTTGTGTAAGACATGACTTGCTCGGCCAGGCATGGTGGCTCACGCCTGTAATCCCAGCACTTTAGGAGGCTGAGGCAGGAAGATCACGAGGTCAGGAGTTCCAGACCAGCCTGACCAACATGGTGAAACCCCATATCTACTAAAAATATAAAAATTAGCCAGGCATGGTGATGTGCACCTGTAATCCCAGCTACTTGGCAGGCTGAGGCAGGAGAATCACTTGAACCCAGGTGGCAGAGGTTGTAGTAAGCTGAGATTGTGCCACTGCACTCCAGCCTGGGTGACAGAGTGAGACCCTGTCTCAAAAAGAAAAAAAAAAAAGACATGATTTGCGCCTCCTTGCCATCCACCATGATGGTGAGGCTTCCCCAACTACGTGGAACTGTAAGTCCAATAAACCTATTTCTTTTGTAAATTGCCCAATCTCAGGTATGTCTTTATCAGCAGAGTGAAAACAGACTAATACAGTACGTTGGTACCAGGAGTGGGGTGCTGCTGAATAAAATACCCGAAAATGTGGAAGCAATTTTGGAACTGGCTAACAGGCAGTGATTGGAACAGTTTGGAGGGCTCAGAAGAAGACAGGAAATGTGGGAAAGTTTGGAACTCCCTAGAGACTTGTTGAATGGCTTTGTCCAAAATGCTAATAATGGTATAGACAATGAATTCCAGGCTGAAGTGGTCTCAGATGGAGATGAGGAAGTTGTTGGGAACTGGAGCAAAGATGACTCTTGTTACATTTTAGCAAAGAGTCTGGTGGGATTTTGACCCTGCCATAGAGATTTGTGGAACTTTGAACTTGAGAGAGATGATTTAGGGTATCTGGTGGAAGAAATTTCTAAGCAACAAAGCATTCAAGATGTTACTTGGGTGCTATTAAAGGTATTCAGTTTTAAAAGGGAAACAAAGCATAAAAGTTTGAAGAATTAGCAACCTGACAAAATGACAGAAAAGAAAATTCCATTTTCTGAGGAGAAATTCAAGCCAGCTGCAGAAATTTGCATGAGTAACAAGGAGCCAAAAGTTAATCAGCAAGAAAATGGGGAAAATATCTCCAGAGCATGTCAGAGACCTTTGTGGCAGCCCCTCCCATCACAGGTCTGAAGATTTAGGAGGAAAAAATGGTTTTGTGAGCCATGCCCAGGGTCCTTCTGCTGTGTGCAGTCTGGGGACTTGGTGCTCTGTGTCCCAGCTGTTCTAGCTGTGACTGACGGGGGCCAAGGTACAGCTTGGACTGTTGCTTTGGATGGTGGAAACCCCAAGCCTTGGCAGCTTACACGTGGTGTTGAGCCTGCGGTTGCACAGAAGTCAAGAATTGAGGTTTGGGAACTTCTGCCTAGATTTCAGAGGATGTATAGAAAGACCTGAATGCCCACGCAGAAGTTTGCTACAGGGGTGGGGCCCTCATGGAAAACCTCTGTGAGGGCAGTACAGAAGGGAAATGTGCAGTTGGAGCCCCCACACAGAGTCCCTACTGGGGCACCGCTTAGTAGAGCTATGAGAAGAGGGTCACTGTCCTCCGGATTTCAAAATGGTAAATCCACTGACAACTTGCACTGTATGCCTGGAAAAGCCACAGATACTCGATGCCAGCCTGTGAAAGCAGCCAGGAGGGAGGGTATACCCTGCAAAGCCACAAGGGCAGAGCTGCTCAAGATCATGGGAACTTACCTCTTGCAGCAGGTGACCTGGATATGAGGCATAAAGTCAAAGGAGGTCATTTTGGAGCTTTGAGATTTCACTGCCCTGCTGAATTTCAGACTTGGATGGGGCATGTAATATCTTTGTTTTGGCCAATTTATGTCATTTGGAATGGCTGTATTTACCCAATGCCTGTACCCCCATTGTATCTAGGAAGTAACTAACTTGCTTTTGATTTGACAGGCTCATAGCCAGAAGGGACTTATTTGCCTTGTCTCAAATGAGACTTTGGACTGTGGACTTTTGTGTTAATGCTGAAATGAGTTAAGACATTGGGGGACTTTGGGAAGGCATGATTGGATTTGAAATGTGAGGGCTTGAGATTTGGGAGGGACCAGGAGCAGAATGATATGGTTTGGCTGTGTCGCCACCTAAATCTCATCTGGAATTGTAACTCCCATAATTCCTACATGTCATGGGAGGGACCTGGTGGGAGGTAATTGAATCATGGGGGCAGGTCTTTCTCATGGCGTTCTCATGATAGTGAATAAGTCTCGTGAGATCTGATGGTTTTAAAAATGGGAGTTTCCTTACACAAGCCCTCTCTCTTTGCCTGCTGCCATCCATGTAAGACGTGACTTGATCCTCCTTGCCTTCCACCATGATTGTGAGGGTTCCCCAGCCACATGGACCTGTAAGTCCATTAAACCTCTTTCTTTTGTAAGTTGCCGAGTCTCAGGTGTGTCTTTATCAGCAGCATGAATGGACTAATACAGTCTATAATATTTGACACGTGAGTCCATATCCAGTGGATGTGGACTATTTGCTTCCTTTATGTCCATGATATATTCTCTATTGTTGCCAGCAATAGAGAATAGTGATAACAATCACTGATTTAAGGCCAAGATGTTGGAGACTGAAGCCTCACCATCACTTAGTAGCTATGTGATTTGAAGCAAGTCACATTATCCTTTCTATGGCTTAGTTTCTCTTCTGTGAAATGGAGACTGTAAAATTTGAGTCCATGCCTCACAGGTTTGTAATAAGGATTAAATAAGTCAATACATTAAAAAAACTTCAGTAATAGCACATTGATATAGTTTAGATATTTGCCCACTTCAAATCTCATGTTGAAATTTGCTCCCCAGTGTTGGGAGTGGAGACTAGTGGGAAGTATTTGGGTCACAGAGGCATATCTGTCATGAAGAGCTTGGTGCTCTCCTCATGGTAATAAGTTCTCATTCTAATTAGTTTTGTGAGAATTTATTGTTAAAAAGAGCCTGGCACTTCTCTCCCCACTGTCTTTCTCCCTGTCTTACACAATGTTATCTTTATATGCTGGTTCACCTTCAGCTTCTACCATGAGTGAAAGCAGTCTGAGGCCTTCATCAGTAGCAGATGATAGCACTATGCTTCTTGTAGAGTCTGCAGAACCATGAACCATATAAACTTTTCTTTGTAATTTCCTTTATAGCAACACTAATGGACTAAAATACACATGTCCAGTGTTTTACTGCATTGCATTATTGCAAAGCATTATTGTAATTATATTTGTTAGCTGTTGGTGGTGAGATTATTATTAAATATATCTCTTTAATTTTATATTTTTTCTTCATTCATCTGTATTTTTTTCCTAAAAGGAGCATTTGCTCATTTGAAAGCAAAAGCAAAACAAAATTACTTTCCCATAGTCTGATAATTCTCTCACTAAAGGAGCTGAGATGATTTTACTGATTTTAATCCCAAATGAGGTAGAGGCCATGTTTAATATCAATTATTTTAATATATTATAATGATACTTCAAAGATCTGATTTCATGTTATTAGAAAATTGACAACTGCAAAATTAGTTCCTGATCTGAATTTTAAGAAAATATGGTAATTGACTTTTTTCCATACTTTTAGCTAAATCACATGCATCATATTCTCTTTACTTCTGTCCAAAAATTCCCTTTGTTCTGTAATCTTTAAGTCACTTTTTAAAGAAAGCTATTTTTAGTTATTTTTTTTATTTTTTATTTTTTATTTTTTATTTTTATTTTTATTTTTTTGAGACGGAGTCTCGCTCTGTCGCCCAGGCTGGAGTGCAGTGGCGGGATCTCGGCTCACTGCAAGCTCCGCCTTCCGGGTTCACGCCATTCTCCTGCCTCAGCCTCCCAAGTAGCTGGGACTACAGGCGCCCGCCACTACGCCCGGCTAATTTTTTTGTATTTTTAGTAGAGACGGGGTTTCACCGTTTTAGCCGGGATGGTCTCGATCTCCTGACCTCGTGATCCGCCCGCCTCGGCCTCCCAAAGTTCTGGGATTACAGGCGTGAGCCACCGCGCCCGGCCTATTTTTAGTTATTTTTAAAACAAATATTCAATGGAATATTGGTTGGGTTTTGGCTTTTTGCTAGGTAGAAACAGCAGTGAAGTTTGAATCTGTCACTATGACCTATCATTTTCTGGCTATTCAATTCCTGTGGTCTCAACAGTAAAATAGACTAACAATACTGAGTTTTAAAAAATGTGGGTACAAAGACATTTGTTTCTATTTATAGGAAAACTCTAAAGTGTTGACTGGACACAAAGGCTTTTGATGCTTCTTGTATTCTCAAATGTGAATTCCATTGTCCAGTAGTATATCACAGTCTTTCTTAGAAGCCTGGATTTCTGGCCTCCTGTTAGTAGCTGTATAATGTACATGTAATTTTTCTCAGTAAGAAAATGATAGTTAAAATTATAGTTAAAGCATTTATAACTTTATTATCCACATTAGAGCTAATGTTAGGGTATTTGTCTGGCTAATATTATCACTGGCCACTTTTACATTTATATACCATGAGAAATTAGCTTTGTAAGTATGGTTGTCTACACACACACACACCTAAATAAATAAGTTAATAAATAATTAATTAATTTGATACAGAGTCTCACTCTGTTGCCCAGGCTAGATTGCAATGGTGCTATTATAGCTTACTGCAGCCTCAAACTCCCAGGCTTGAGTGATGCTCTCACCTCAGCCTCTCGAGTAGCTGAGACGACAGACATTCATCACTATATCCAATAAATTTTTTTTTATGTTTAGTAGAGACAGCTCTTGTTATGCTGCCCCAGGCTGGTCTCAAACTCCTGGTCTGAAACAATGCTCCTACCTCATCCTCCCAAAATGTTGAGATTATAGGCATGAGCCACTGTGCCCAGCATGTCTTCAATATTTAAATGTTCTGACAAATCAGGATGTTATAGTAGATGTGTTTGTTCTCTTTTTTTCTATAACAACCTATAATTGATGGAATTTAACAACGCCCTGGGATTCTTTCTGAAATCCAGATAATCAAACCCTACGGACTAGAATGTCCATAGGGGACCAAGAGATGAGGGAACAAGAGGTCAAGACTACAAAATGGTTGCAAATGTCAAACAAACATCGTGCAATAGCAATATTGGGATCAATGATACAGGGACAGCATGAGCAGAGAGTTCTTGCTATCAGAAGTGTTCTGAGGATCAGATAATGCATATGACAACATTCTGAAATTTATAGAATAGCATGCAGATAGGAGGTGATAATGTTATTGCTGCATGATGTGGTATGAATATTTTGGAATAGGGTAGAGCCGGAGAGTAATTTGCTTTGGCAGGCAGTTAGTGTGTTGTTTGAGAGCATGAGCTCTGAAGCTAGACTGCTTGGGTTTGAATTTTGGAGCCACCATTTCCTAGCCATGTGATATGGGCAATTTATTTCATATTCCTGTGACTCAGGTTCTTTATCTCTAAAAATGGTACCTAATTCACAAGGATTGTTATGAGGATTCAGTTGCCTAATTTATGTAAGGTAATTTGAAAGGTTCCTGGAATATGGTAATATTACATAATGTTTGTTGCTGTTATTTTTATCTAGTCAAACTCCAAATTATTGAAATTAGAAAATTTAGAGTCTTTTTTCCTATCATTTAATAATTTTCAATTTTAATAAGGGTATTAAGCCTTTTACAATTGCATTTGTGGCAAATTTTTCTATCATATAGTGATTTGCCTTTTGTCCTAAAACTTTATGTAGTCAAAATCATTGATCTTTTTAAAGGGATGTTTAAAGATAAAAAACCTTGAAATCACAACAAAATTTCATCTTTGTGTATTTCCATTTATCATTTACATGTACTCATTTTTACAGTTATAAACATCCCATGCATACTATTTTGTATTCTGTTAGTATCTTATAAAAATCTTCCTTAATTCTTTTTACTCTACATAATCATCACCCACAAGGGCAGCAATATATTGGCTCATCTTGGCACTGAATCTTTTAAGTTGATTTCTCTCTTTCATTTCTTTTACTGTCAGAGTTGAATTTGTGATTCAACTGTAATAATTGTATACAATTCAACTTTTATAATTATTATTACTAAATTTGGAGTACTGATTAGCCATTACTGTATTTTTGCAATTTTGTGTTGTAATATTTTCACAGTGATGGTTAATGCTACAATAAACCCATTTTTCCTTTTCAGTGGAACCTCTCTTCAAATAATAAGAAAACCCAATATAGAAGTAATAAGTAAGGAGTTGTTCCGGGTAAAACCAGGAGTAAGATACCAGAGCTCCACCACACCTACCACCTCTCTCACTCTTTCTCTGGTGTCTATAACAGAGACCATGAGTTCTGTGTAAGTTTTAAAAACTACAACCCTAAATACTTTATAATTCATTCTACCATATACTCTAAATATGCTTGTTATTCATACAAGACCATATGAGACGTCTGTATTTTTACCATTATTTAGTCCCTTAGTAGATTTGTTCACTAAGCTATACTTTAGAACTTTTGATTTGCACGTAAGGAGATGCGGTAAGCATGCTGTTGAAGAGCTTTTCAAGTTAATTAAAGAGTCATTTTTATGAGGCTCCACGGAAGAATTTTTCTTATACTTTAATATTTATTAGGGAGGGCAGAGAGGGGAAATGGGCTTTATTCTATCCATTGGCATTTTATATTAGGAACAATAAATCTGTATTGGTCTGTTTTCACACTGCTATAAAGAACTTCCCTGAGACTTGGTAATTTATAAAGGAAAGAGGTTTAACTGACTCACAGTTCCATATGGCTGGGGAGGCCTCAGGAAACTTACAATCATGGCAGAAGGGGAAGCAGGCACGTTTTTCACAAGGCTGCTGGAGAGAGAAGAGAAAGTGAAGGGGGAATAGCCCCTTATAAAACCATCGGATCTCGTGAGAACTCACTATAATGAGAACACTATGGGGGAAATTGCCCCCATTATTCAATCACCTCCCTCCCTTCACACCTGGGGATTATATGTCCCTCCTTTGACAGGTGGTGGTATGGTTTGACTGTGTCCCCACCCAAATCTCAGCTTGAATTTTACTTCCCAGAATCCCCACATGTTATGGGAGGGACCCATATGGGAGGTAATTAAATCATGGGGCCCAGTCTTTCCCGTGCTATTCTTGTGATAGTGAATAAGTCTCACAAGATCTGATGGGTTTATCAGGGGTTTCCACTTTTGCATCTTCCTCATTTTCCTCTTGCTACTGACATGTAAGAAGGGCCTTTCACCTTCCACCATGAATCTGAGGCCTCTGCAGCCATGTGGAACTGTAAGTCCAATTAAACCTCTTTTCGTTACCAGTTTCAGGTATGTCTTCAACAGCAATGTGAAAATGGCCTAATACAGGTGGGAATCACAGTTTGATATGTGATTTGGGTGGGGACACAGCCAAACCATATCAAAATCTTATAATTGACTTCTCTCTCTGCTTTGATCAGAGTTGAGTTTGTAACCCAACTCTAACAATTATGCACAATACTTTTTTATATTAAATACAACTTCTTTGTAGTAAATTTACAGGGACTTTCTTTCCCACTGTACCTTTATTTTTTTTACTTTGCGTTGATTCATTTTTTTTCTCCTGTGACTTATGCAAGTACTTTTATGATTATTTATCAGGTTAAGTCTCCAGTAGTGGATTATTGTGTAAATGTATATAAATATTCTAGTATCTTTTAGTATCTACTGTAGCCTTTGATTTGATGGAAGCATCTCCACTCGGCTTCAAAACCAATTTGATTATGAATTTTTCATGAATTAAATGCACAAAAATGAATCTAATGTATTCAAAATGAACAGTGAATATGAGGTAGGTCTCATGATTGTTGTGAGAATTAAAGGATATATGTAAATTATGTGTAATAGCTATTTACTATGCATTAATAAATATTAGCCATTAATAGAGCATATTCTAGCTAACCATATTACTGGTGTCTTCAGTTGTGATTTAATAAAAGAGATTGAAGGTTATATTTGCAGCAAATGTCTTGGCAATAGAAAACTTCTGTTCCTTTACTAATTGTGTCATTGATGTCTTAGAATCTTTATTGGACAAATGATCATCTTCTGTGGTACACATTTTAGTCAACTGCATTTTTTAACAACAATTTTCTTGTGCCTGTGCTGTAATTGTCCTTGTGAAATTGTCAAGAAATATGGTAAAAAATATGTATATGTATTTTAACTTCATTCATTAACCAAAATACAACAAATTCTCAAATACGTGAGCTTTGTAGGGCTTTGTTTGTTGCATGTAATGAATGAAATTACCACACTGTTTATTTTCAACCAATAATTAGTTTTTAATTGTAAAAGGTAGGAATTACTGCCAGGACTTCTATTTATTGAGTTGACTCCGTCATTGGGCCTGGGGATAATGCTGTGTTTACCATGGAGTACATGTTGTTTACCACGAGGATTACTTTCACACTCAGATAGTTCTAAATGGTAAATTAACTCAGGTAGAGGGTCTCTATTAACATGTGCAGCCGAGCTAACTGTCCACAAACTGAAAAAGGAGATTTAATTTTCCTAGAAACAGACTGAACAATAAAGATGTGTCAGCATTGTTTGAAAATATGTACTCCACTCTGTGAAATACATTGTATTCTTGTGTTCCTTGTAAGAAAGAAAAAAGAAAGGTAAAAAAGCCCACTTGTTATTCATCCATTGTTAGAAAATGAATGTGTCTGTGGCTCACTATATTTTAGTTTTTAATTGCCTGCTTGACAGTCAACCTATTTCCATAATGCAGTGTATATATTTCATGTTTTACTTTAAGTATGTGCTTTTAATTCCAGATAACAGCATTTAGTTCCTTTTGTTTATTTTGCATCATAGCATTGTCTATTAATAAAAATCACCATTGAAGAAGATTTTAAGGGTCCTTACAGCCTTGTGAAATGTTTGCTTCCTTTGCTCAGTATTTTTGAAGAAAGTCCAATTTAAAAAATAGGGTTTTTCTGTATTTTTAAAAAACAAAAAATCTAGTTTAGATGTGTGCTTGCCCCGCCCCATCCCTCCCCAACCAAAAAAGAAAAAAAAAAAAAACACAAAACAGTGAATAATGCCCTGGGCCAGAAGTCTTTATTTTATTTTATTTTTTTGTATCATTGAAAGTTTCAATTTGTTATAAAATCATAAAAATAATCCAGATCCATTAAACATCAGAATAATATGTCAACATGTAACATACATTAAGTATAAGTGTAGGTTAATTAACTTTAGGCTGATTGGTACATACATCCCAAGCTTTGAGTTATCTTCCTCAGAATCATATGATTAAACACAGTGGCTCCAGAAGCCACTGAAGTCAAGACAAGGAGACCTAAATGGGCTGTGATCTGAAGCCCTACACCACTGCATTTCTTATTTCTATGTGTTTGCTTTTTTAAAGAACAACAACAAAAAATTCCTAACAGCATAATGCACTGACATTCAATAATGTTAATTTTACAGATGAAAAAATTGAAATTTAGAAAAGGCAAAAGACTCGCCTCCTTGCCTAGGTACCTACATGTGTAGCCATGTATATTTGCTTTCCCCTTTAACCTTTTTGCCTAGCCCAGCTGAATTACCCTAGACTCACATTCATTTTATTATTGACAAGGAGTCACGTTCTGTAAGAGATCCTGATGGTTGTCCTCTGTAAATTTTCCTTGAAATATAGTCATGTGCTGCGTAATGTTTCTGTTACTGACAGACCACATATGTGATGATAGTCCTAAAATACTATAAAACCCACCATACTTTAATTGTACCTTTTCTATGTGTAGATGTGTTTAGATAAATAAATTCTTACATTGTGGTAAAATTACCTGCAGTATTCAGTACAGTAACATGCTGTACAGGTTTGCACCCTAGGAACAATAGGCTATTCCATCTAGCATAAGGGTATAGTAGGCCATACCATGTAGGTTTGTGTAAGTACACTCTATTATATTTGTGTGACTAAATCTCTTAAAGACACATTTCTCAGAATATATCTCTGTCATTAAGTGTCACATGCCTGTATATGGATTTTCCATTGCTATATTTTGTAAAATAATGAGACACAATTCACATGCAATGAAATGCACGTATCTTAAGTATATAATCTGATGAACTTTGAGAAGTGTATACACCCAGGTAGCCACACAGTAGTGCAGAATATTTCTATTATCTCTTCCTGTTCTCCTCCCACCCTACAACTCTACTGGAAGTAACCAATTCTGCTTTTCTTCACTATAGACTAATTTTGCTTATTCTAGAACTTCATAAAATGCAATATATAGCAATTTTTTGTGTCTAGCTTCTTTTGCTCAACATAATTTTTTTTGAGATTCATCAAATAGCATTGCATATATCAGTAACTGTTATGTTTTATTGTGGAGTTATTTTCCATTCTTTAAATATGCTATGATTTATTTATCCACTCTTTTGATAATGTACATTGGGTTTTTTCAGTTATTTATTTTTATGAATAAAGCCAATGGGAACATTTTTGTATGTCTTCTTATGAACATGCTTTCATTTATCTTGGGACAATATTTTAAAATGCAATTGCTAGGTTATAGTAAATGTGTATGTTTAATTTTGTAAGAAGCTGTCAGATAGCTTTCTAAACTGACTCCATTTTATACTCCCACCAGCAATGTATGAGTACCAGGTGCTACATATCCTCCCAACATTATCAGTTTTTAAAATTTGGGTTATTTTTGTGAGTATGAAGACAGTATCTCACTAAAGTTTCAATTTGCATTTTCCTTGTGACTGAAGATGTGAAGCATTTTTCATATGCTTATTGGATAATTTTCTTTTTTGAAAAATTTGTCTCACAGCCATTTAAAAAATTTGGTTGTCTTCTTTATATTGCTGATTCATAGGAATTCATTATATAGTCTGAATATGTCTGTTGTAAAATTCATGTCTTGAAACTATATTCTCCAATCCAGTGATTTGACTTTATTAATGGCAGCTTTCAATAAGCAGAAGTTCTTAATTTTGGTAAAACTTATATAACCCTTCCTTTATTTTTTTCTATTTTGAATTCGTGCTTTTGTGCCCAGGAATTTTTTTGCATACTTCAGAACATAAAGTTGTTCTTTTATGACTCTTCAGAAGCTTTATATGTTAAGTTTTATGTGTAAGCTTATGAATCATCTCAAATTATTGTGTGTGGTGTGAGGTTGGGTTGAGGTTCACTTTCTTCCCCCACACTTTTAACCAGCATCATTTGTTGAAATGATTTTTTCCCCATTGAGGTGCATTGATCTCTTTGTTGAAAATCAGTTAACCATATATGTGTTAATCTATTTTTGGATTTCCTATTTTGCTATGTTGACCTGTAAATATGCTGTTATTCTAATACCACACTGTCTTGATTAATGTACCTTTATAACAAGTCTTGAAAATAGGCATGTAAGTCCTCTAAATTTGCTCATTGTTTTCAATGTGTGTAGGCTATTCCAGGTCCCGTTTTCATTTGTATTCTACATTTAACTTATCAATTTCTACAAAAGTATAACTGAGATTTTGATTGAATTGCATGAAATATATACATCAAATGGGGGAAAATTGAAAATAATATTGTTTTCAAAATAATATTGTATGTTTCTCCAGTTTTTCAGGTTTTAAAAAAGTTGTCTAAGTGATTTGTTGTTTATAGTGCAGATATCTTGCACTGCTTATTTGAAAGTTATTTGTGAGTATATTATGGTTTTTTGCACTAATATAAATGGTATTATCTCATTTTCCAATTGACTGCTGCTAAGAATAGCAATACAATTTAATTTTGTATATTGACCTTGTCTCCTGTGATCTTGCTAAGTTCCCTTATAAATTCTAGTTTTAAAATAGATTCCTTAGGATTTTCTACATCATTAAACAATAGTTGAAGAGAGCCACTCTAGATGGCTTATAATTAAATACATTATAATTTGCCAACTGAATTACCCAGATAATAATTTCTGTTACAGGTCATAGGGAAAAAAAATCATTAAATGAACATAAGAAATTCTTTATTAGAAAGTTACTATATATCAAAACATACATTTGATGATTGTTTAAATCACATTGTCTCCAAATAAAGGGACTTTTACTTCTTAATTGCTTGCCTATATTCCTTTTGCTTTTTCTCCCTGTCTTACTGTATTCTCTGAAACTGCCAATGCAAAGTTAAATAGAAGTTGTAAGAATACATCTTTGCCTCATTTCTGATCTAAAGAGGAAAACATTCAAAATTTTACCATTCAGTAAGATGTTAGTTGTGGGATTTTCATAGATACCCTGTATTTCAGGTTGAGGACATTTCCTTCTAAGAACTACTAGTTCACTGACTTTTTTAAAAACATGGATATGTATGAATGTTTTCAAATACCTTTTCTGTATCGTGATTTTTCTCTTTTATTCTGCTAATGTAGTAAATTATGCTGCTGGACTTTAAAATATTAAAACAGCCTTGTCTGCCTAAAACAAACTCCACTTGGTCAATATGTCTTTTAACATATTGGGTTTTTTTTCGTTTTGCTTTTAAGTTTATTTGAATATATAAAGCATACAAATATATTTGTGAATATTGTTTTAAGATACTTGGATCTACATTCTGGAGGAATATTTGTAATTTTCTTTTAATATCTTTGTTCAGTTTTTGGTATCAAGGATATGCCAACTTCATAATGTAGTATTCCCTCCTCTTATACTTTGAGTTTGTACAAGATTTTTATTGCTTCTTCCTCAAATGTTTGGTGGTATTAGCAATAAATACAAAACTGATGTTTTGACGTGTAGTAACTTTCTAATTAATGAATTTTGTATGTTCATTTAATGATTTTTCCCATATGACCTCTAGTTGGCATTATTATCAGAGTAATTCTCTTGGCAAATTATGATGTATTTAATTATAAGACATCTACAGTGGCTGTCTTCAAGTATTGCTTAATTATTTTGTTATTGCTGTTCAATTTTTCACATGATCTTCTAAACCTTCTATATTTAAGTTTCTTTATGGTAAGAAACTGTCTTCCATGTCTGGCATTCTCTATGATTCTTAGTACATTGCCATGGCATCTTAGGCACCAGTAACATTTTTACTGGTTTGATCTTCTGTCAGAAGTTTAAGGGGGCGCATCCTTTATTTGTTTTAAACAGATCTTTCCAGTGTCAAGGGACTCCTCTTAGTTCCAGTATTATTAAATTGGCTAATTATCAAATCTCTTATTCTTCATTAAAATAGGTTTTGTCATATCCGTTTCTCATTCCACAATAAAACTTCAAAGTATCACCAGTTTCTATAAGCAGGTACTTTAACTTCTGCATTTACCATCCTTGAACTTAATTTTTTTAAATCATTCATTTTTCTCATTTACTTATAAAACAAAGAACCACCCCTATAAATCAGCCCTTTCATTACTTATCATATTATTTATAGAAAATTATATATTGACAATTAAAAATGGTGAAATATGATATAAATTTTTTTAAATGAGGAAGTACAAATCACAGAATGTTCAAAATTTAAAAATTGTAAACTCAAATATACTTAGAAGACAAAAAAACAAAAGGAACAAAGCTCTATTCTCTTTGAAATGATTCAGAAATAATCATGTGGTCCTATTCTGGCGATGAGATGCTAGAAAACATTGGCAGAAATTTGGAAAAGAGTCATATTTACAATTAAGAGAGAACTTCCAGGGAGCATGTCCTTCTATCCTTATGAACAGGAAGAAGGAACAATGTAGATCTTCCTCCTCAGAGATACTTTAAGACCATTAAGAGAACCAGTCTTATATGTGGCTGTGGTTTGCAGAGATAAGTAATAACAAGAGGCTGGACACTTGAGGAAATTATTGAGTTTCTCAATCAACTAACCTAGAGAACTACCCTACACTTGTACTTCATTACATGAGCTAGTTAATTACATCATATTTAAGCTAGACTTTTCTTGCAGCTGAAATATCCTCAATATTAGGACCTCATAGCCCAGAAAATATGATAAAAATGCATAATGTGTGTGAATGGGTATGTATATGTTCTGGATTCTGGGGATTAACTTATTAAAGTGGCAGGACTTAGGCAACAGTAGAGTGTAAACCACTGGAATATGTACATGACACAGGGATAGATTTTAGAGACATTATGTAAGATATTTAAAGACCTTAGTAACTGTGGTTTAAGTATTTTATTTAGGGAGGAAGCCAGACTGAACAAGATAAAGGGGAAAGCTGGCTCAGGGGAAGTGGGTCAATAATATCAGACTCATTTTAATATGGATATGAGTTGCAGATTAATTACTTTAAGTGCAAACTTGAGAGTTCTGTTTCCATGGTTTGTAAAATTTCCTATGTGGCCAAAACCAAAAGAAAAAATATTAATTACTAAGTGGATGTGGTATTATATCAATAATTGCTATTTACCTAAATAGAACACACATAGTTGAACACAATTTAAAGTCATCAATAATTACTATTTTGTTCTTATTTTTATCTGTTTTTTTTCCTGAGTGTCATCTATCTCTTAATACTGAATTTTGACGAGCCATAAAACCAGACCTTAGCAATACAAATATAAAGATATATAATTAGCCTATTTACTCAACCTTGAAAATACTGATAATCTTATTATTTATAGAAAATATTTTAGGCAATCATAAAAATGGTGAAATATGATATAAATATTAAAAATATTGAGGAAGTCAAAATTACAGAAAGTTTAAAATTTAAATATTATAAACTCAAATATGCTTAGAAGACAAAAACAAAAGAAACAAAACTCTATCCTTGTATTTAGAATAATTTAAAAATAATCATGAGGTCCAGTTCTGGACATGAGATGCTAGAAAATATTGACAGAAATTTGGAAAAGAGCCATGTTTACAATTAAGATATAACCTTCTTAATTGTAAGGGAAAACAATTCAAACAGGGAAAAACAACCTGTTACCAATACCTGCTAAAATTTTAAATAAAAGAATCTAGGGCTGTATTAGACCTACTTCACGTCCTCTGTATCTAATCAACACGGCTAATGTATTTTCAGTTTGATATAACTGAATTTCTCAAGTATGATCATAGCCATACTTAACTCCGCTCTTCTCTGTAATGGCATTTTCCTGTGTCTCATTTTTCTTAGCGTTTATTTCAATGATAAAAGTTTTGAAAAAAAAAAAAGCTGTTCCCAGTGCTGCTTTCTTTTTAAGACTATAGGATTCTTTATTTCTGCAAAAAGAAGAAAATCATGAAAATGATTTTTAAAGTTTTGAAAACCTTATCACATGGTTGGTGCATAATATACACTGCCCTCCTGTTTTTTTTTTCTTTGGAATGACATAACACAGACTAATCATTATTTTATTCAGAATTCTGGAAGTCCAGATATTCCCATTATTTCTTCTTTCCATTGTTCTCACTCACATAGTACAGCGTAACCTGTGAAGGCATGGCAAATTCTCTCTGCTCTCAGCTTTACCTGTCATCTGCCACCTCTCTGTGTGTGTAGTTGAATGGAATTAATAGAAGAGAGAAAATGGTACACTTAGGTCACCTTCTCCTAATCTTCCCAGTATTTATCACAGTAGGTGAAAGGCAACATCAAATCTTTCATATACTAAATTTTAAGATAGATCTTATTTGATGAATTTTCATAAGTATCTGATTTTTAAAAATGATCTTATTTCTCAGTTCAAAAATGAGCGGAGGAACAATGACAACAAACAACCCCCCACCAAATTGAACATGGGGTCAAAGCTGACAGCTTAAAATATAAGAAAGCAGAGTTTATGTTTTGGGGGTCAGGTAAAGAGAAAGACGTAAAGAGAATTCATTTACAATTTGGAAATAATTCATTGCAAGTGTGCTTTCAAATCTATGCCAATTGTTCTTAGACCAGCAGAGTTATTTAGTAGTTATTTGTTAAAAAGTAATGAAAAGAGCTGGCTTGTCAAAAAGGAATATTAGATTCAATTAATTAAGGGATATATTGAAAAGAAGCAAATAATTAAATATTGTAATTTGTGATTAGAATTTTGGATCATTATTTTGTACCTCTGTTTATTACACTGTTTTAGGCTCTGCAGCTGTGAAATAAATGTGGCATGCCTCAGACAGGACCTGTGAAAGATTAAGCAGTAAATGGGGCACTGGACAGGAATTAGGATGTGTGGACTCAGTTCCTGCTGCTCACACACTGCTTTTAACCTGTGACTGTCAAGTCCTTCGTGTCCAAATAAGATTAATAACCTTGAGATGTAGCTAGAGTTTATAGAAGCTCTTTGAGACCTATGATAGAAGATATAAAAATAAGCCAGGATTATAGCTCTGTGATAAAGAGTTTGCAGAATGTTATTAAAATAGAAGACATGAACCTCAACGATGATGTAATATTCACAGATAATGACATAATTACAAAATTTATGCTATTGTTGAGACTGAGGGCTAATAGAACTAGCTTCCACTTTTTAAGGGTATTCATAAGAAGAACCTATACCAAAAAAGACTGGAAAGATTTCAGTGCCTATGAAATAAGCAAATACGATACAAATGCAACTCAATAAAACATAATCTATATTCTGTTAAGGGTATAAAGCTCATAGGTATTTTTTTTCAAAGTTCACAATTCTACTTTGAAAAGAAAGACTGACTAGATCAAGATAGAGAATCAAGCACTGAGTTCTGCCCAAGTCCCATGTGATTACAAAAAATACAAATAGATGGTACCTAGAGATGGAAATAAAGATCTAGAGAATAAAGAGAAAGTTAGAGGATTAATCCATAGCAATGTAGGAAAACATGATACACTGTCATCTGCAGAAGAATAGTTGATATCACCCAAAAGTAGAAAACAAATTGGATGATGCAGACATACAGGTGAAACCAGAACAACCTGCTAAATCACCCGCAAGTGGACTGCTGTAAAGATAGAGATTAGTTTGGAAGTAGCACAAGTGAAGTACAGCAGTAAGAAGCAACAATTGGAATGTTTAATATATGTATAGCAATTAAGCCCTCTTTCCCTGACTTGGGCTTAATAAGAAACAGCAAGGATAAGCATCCCTGGAAGAAAGCATCAAGCATACGTACAGTGGCCCAAGTAGTAACAGACCCCAGGAGTGGCAGATAACCTCCACAACCAGACCACAGCTATGGGTGTTAAGAACTGTAGGACCCTTGGCCCATAACAACTCCATCCAACCCTCTGCTCTGAGAGACTTGGCAAACTCTAGCATGACTTCTGGCAGCTTAAGGCTGTGTCCTTAGGATGACCCTACCTCTCCAACCTCTACTTTTAAAATGCCTGCCTCAGCTCACTGCTGGCAGGTGAGTTTATGGTTTGTTCCAGCCAAACTTTGTTGATATGCAGATAGGCCTCTGAACCCCCTATAGAACAGTTACTTTAGAAAGCTTGCAATTATGAATACTTTCTCTGCCTTTAAAGCTGTAAGTCTACGACCCCAAATGGTTTTCTTAAAGATCTCAGAGTTGTATTTTTGAAATGAGAACATTCAGGGAAGATAACTCATGTTCCTACTCCCAGTCCCGTGGGGGGATAGGACCTACTTTCAGTGGGCACCTTGCTTCAACTTGCCCCATTGCCTTCTGTCATGAAAGTAGAAGTTTCTTTCTTCTTCCAGTGAGCACTGATTTACAAATCTAGGTAGTCCCATGGTTAAGAGAGGTTCCCTTAACATCCCTCAGTGCTTTGCTCTTAGCACACTCCAGCCTTTAAAAAACATCTAGCCTTTTGTTTCCAGGGTTTAGTTCACACTGGACTCTTCGTCCGTTTCCAAAAGGTACTGAATAAAACCTGTTCTGACCTCTTTAATTAGTACCTGGCTTTGTTTTTCTTTGCCGGTGTACAGCTCCAGGAATCATTGCCTACCTTCCTCCACACTGCCAGGCTATTGCAAACAAAATACCTAGTAGAATCAGGTGAACAAATATTTGTAAAGGGTAGTGGTTTAAAGTTTTAAGTTCTGAAAATGAATTTATTAATTTTTAAGTCCATGTCATTTCTTTTTGGTAATTGTTCTACCTTGGTTAAATCACTCAGTTTCTCGTATCTAAATAAAGAAGTTAAAAGAACATAAGTTCAATAAAAACAGATTTTTGTTTGTTTTGTACACTATAGCATCCTAGGTGCCTAGTATCTATTGTATCTATTTGTCAAAATAATAGTATCTCTTTTTAGTTTTCTTTGTGAAGATTAATGGACTTAAAACTTATAATGTACTTGAAACTGTTCTTGGCATGTAGAAAACACCTGAAAAATATTAGTTCATGTTATACGTTACTATAATATCAATAACAGCAACAAAAGGACATGAAATAAAAAATAAAACAAGGAAACAAAAGTAATCTAAGTTAAATTTGCAGCTACTATTTATATATACAAATGTGGTTGTGTGATTATACATATATATATCCCCCCCACATATATATGGGGAGAAAGAGAAGTCTCACAAAGCTAATAGAACAGATAATATATCCATAAAGAAAAAACTAGAAAACCCGTAAAAACTAAAGCAAAACTCACATTTACTGTTGAAATATTATTAGAATTCTCATTAAAACTGGATATAAAAAAGGAATTTGCAATAAGATAGCTACTATTCAATATAGTTCTAGTCAGGCAATAATAAAAGTAATAGGAAGAAGCAGTATAAATATTGGCAAGGAGAAGACTAGATGACAAAATTTTAAACTACAAAATTCAGAGAATTAACAGGAAAACTGTAACAAGAAACTATCAAAATTTAGTATGGTGGTTGATCCAAATATAACTTAGAAAATCAATAGCTTTACTGTATATACACTGATAACAAGGTAGAGAAAAGTTCAAAAGGATCTCCTTCATAATAGCAAATAAAACTATTAAGAACATTTGAAGTAATCTCATAATGAAATAGGAGAGTTCCCTTATCTCCCTTGGCAGGGAGTACAACAGGGGTGTGGCTTGCTTCTTCAGTGCCCTACTGCTCAAACCCCTAGGGGAGCATGCAGACCAGACAGGCACATGGTCGTGGGGAGTGCTTTTGGGCTCTGACCCCACGGTACCATCTAGGGGTGAGTGTTAACAACTCCCAAAGCCCAAGTTGGCATGTGTTACAGTGCAGTCTTTCAGCTTTGCTGTCTGCAGGTGGCTTGTGTTAATTAGCTCAATTAGACCCTCTGCCTAATCACAAGGACAGAGGGCTTTCTGTATCCTGGGTTCTTACCCTAGTGTACCAAAAACATCGGATCACTTGTGGGCTCAGAGAATGAGTGCAAGGTTTTATTGAGTGGTTGAGGTGGCTCTTAGCTAGAGGGATAGGGATCTGGAAGGGAGATGGAGTGGGAAAGTGGTTTTCCCCTGGAGTCAGGCTGCCCAGAGGCCAGATTCCTTTGATGGCTCGCAGCTGAACTTCCCTGGCGTCCACATCGTTCTACCGTCACTGGTCTACCAGTGTCTGCTGGTGTGTTCTTCTGCTCCTCTCCACACCCAGCCACTTGTATGTGTGCCCGCTGAGGTCTTGGGCTTATATGGGGATAGGACAGGGAGGTGTGGTGGGCCAGACTGGTCTTGGAAAATGAAACATTTGGACTTGAAAACAGGAGTGCCTGTTCTCACTTAGGTCTGTGGGCACAGGCCTGAGGGTGGAGCCCTGGCCACGGACCCCGTTCTTCTCTACCTACCACTTCCCTTCCCCCGTCCCATATCAATAAGTGATGGGTAAGACCTATGTGAATATAACCATAAACTGTACTGAAGAATGTAATAGCCTAAAGAAACAGAATGTCATATACTAAAGGAATAAGAAATAATTTTAAATTACAAAGAAAGCCCAGTAAAAACCTCAACAGGAAATCTGACATCATTTGAAAGACCAAATACATACACACAAAAATGAAAAAATTCTGAAAATAAGAGAATTTATTTCATACAATATATGATACTTCACGTAATAGTCATAACTTATTTTTACAATATATGATAATTATACATGATTATGGTTTTCTCATATGACGAATCTATGATCATTTAGACATATATCAGTGTGCCGATACTAGACAAATAGATAAATGGAACAAAATATAATCCAGAAACAGATTCATATAAGTAGAAACAGTTTAACATAAAGGAGTCTTGCTAGTCTGGCAGTGAAAGGTTAGCCAATTCAATGAATAGTATTAATAAAATTAGTTATTCATTTGGAAAAAAATTAACAAATTATAGTCATCTTGAAGTGTATGTGGGAGACTAGTTCCAAAACTCGACCACCACCCCCTAGAAAAATCTGAGCACATTTGAGTCCCATAGTCAGCCCTGAGGAAACCACTTACATGAAAAGTTGTCTCTCCTTAAACACAGATTTTGTATTCCTTGAATACTGTATTTTGATCTGAATTTGGTTGAAAAAAAATCTGCCTATATTTGGACCTATGTAGTTCAAACCTGTTTTATTCAAGGACAACTGTATGTCTTTAACTGTCCTCAACAAAACAAATTCCAGATAATTTAAAGACTGAACATTATCAAAATATAAAAATGGCATAAAAAACAATATATTTTAATCCTAGAATGAAAGAAAGCCTTCTGTACAAGGCATAACTAAAAAATAAAAGGTAAACTGAATTAAATAAAAATTAAAAATGTAAATCTTCTACAAGCAGGAACAAAACATAACTAAAACAAAAAGAACAATAGACAATGAAGATCACAAGCAAAGTTTATAAACTTCAACATGACCAAGGAATGAAACAGATGATTTGGGTCCCACAGAAATGAATCCTGTTTTCACTTTTATGATGTTACATTTTTGAGTTGACAGAATCTCAAACACTCTCACTAACATCCCCAAGTCTTTAGAGAAGGGATATAAGTGGGTGCTACTAGCATTTCTCTTTCCTGATTTGAAAGGAATGGAAATGTCTGGTGAAGAACTAGAGCAACTAGAAAGGAAGCACACATATCTGCATGTCTGAGGAGCAGGAATACTCCAGAACCCCACACGAGATTGGCAGAAAGCCTCAAAGGTCAAGGGTACCTATCCTGGCAAAATGATGCACACTTGACTATGTAGAGCATACTCAATGTACAACATTTAACAACAGCTAAGAAGCAGCGGCAGAATAGATGATAATGATAGTGGTAACTATGCTCTGACACAGACTGCAGATCCACCAGCAAAGTTCTAAACCTTTAGTTTATTGTCTTACTTGGTCCTCCAAACACTGTGAAGCAGGAAAGAATTTAATATTTTACGTCCCTTTACTAATGGGGAAGTTGGGATTCAGCACAGTTAAATAATTTACCTGTGGCCACACTGCTGGCAAATGATAGAATTGGCACTTAAATGCACACCTGTATCCCCATCTCCAAGGGGGCACACTGCCTCAGAAGGTCCCACTTCTACACACGTGCTTCACCTCTCATGCTACAGAGGAATGCACACAGCATAAAACCCTGCTCACAGACTGTAACTCAGAGAGGAACCCAAAGACGTCTCAGAAGGGAATAACAGAGAAATCTCCCACAGAACATGACAGCCAAAAAGCCGCAACAGAACTGCCAAGCGTGAGCAAAATGAAAAAGAAAAATGGTCTGAAATTATGCAAAGAAGTAACCAGAAAAGAAAGAAAAATGAGACAGGCAGGGAAAAGGGAATGGAGGAAGACTAGCAGGATTAGTTTTAGCTACAATCAAAAGAAACTCTGAAATATGGCAATTTAAACAACATAATTATTAATCTCATGTTAAAAGGGTCTGTAGAAAAATGTCCACATTTTTAAGGCTGCTACCAACGTAATCGGAGATCCAGGTTTCAACATGTAGTGACAGCTCTAAAATGACCATTTAAGTTACAGCCTTGTATTCATATTTCAGGCAGCAGGAAAAGGAGAAAAAAGGGCATACAGCACCTCTTAAAGGACTAAGACATTAAAGACATTTCTAATTACATCAAATGCCAAGAACATAACCTTAACCTCATAACCATACCTACCTCCAAAGGAGGCTGAAAAAGAGAATTTTAATTCAAATAGCCATGCACCCAAAATTAGGCCCCTATTACTTCGTAGAAGGAAAGAATGGATGTTAGGAGTAGCTGTGTGTCTCTGAAACAGGAGAAAGAAAAAAAAATCATAGTAAAAACAATCTAGGAAAAGAAGACAATGTGAAACACATCCAAGACGTGCAAGCTATTACACTGTAAGTGTTCCATGCTGTTGAACAAGTCAGTAAAAATATTAACTTGCTAAAATTAGAAATTCATTCAGAATGAAATTACAAAGGAAATTGCAGTGCTAAGACAGCAAATTGAAAAGTCAAACTAATAAGTAAACCAAATAATAGAATAGATAGGGCTGAAATAACATTAATAGTCTATAAAGATTTGCGGTAATCACAAAGAATGCAAAGATATAAATTAGACCGAATACAATAGATAAGAGAGACAGCAGTAAAAATCCAGCAGGAGGATAGCTTGTGTCTCTGGAGTAGAAAATTCAATGGATAGAAAAAAAAAAAAGGTACTTAAAAATATGAGATTTCCCTACAGTGAAAAATTTGAGAATTTAATGTTGAAAGTATATGGTTTAATTAAGGAAATTGATACAAAACAATTGATATCAGTGTATATTCTTGTTATTATGAATGAATCTCTCCGTCTTCTAGGTAAAACTTATGTATAAACAAGCAAGGGTAGGGAATTAAGCTGGTTCTAGATAACTTCACCACAGCATTCAGTGGCAGAATATACCAGAGAAGCATCTATTTAGTTTATGGAAAATAAAATATGATCCAAAAAGACTATACTCAGAAAAGATATTCAAATACAAATTCAACCAAGAAACGGCCTCAAATATAAACTAACTCAGGAAATAAAGCACCCATGCTGCATTCTTGCAAAAAATCAGGAAGAGAAAATTCAACCCATTAAAAGATTAATAAAAATGAAAAAATTTAAGACTGAAGAAGCCAGATAAAGCTGACAGGAAGATTGAATCTATTTAAACATTGAATTAAAACTAAAATGCCATAAAAACTATAGTTGTACAATGGAATCTAAATATTAGTCTAATAATATAAAATCAAATTTATAATGTAAAAATTGGATGATAAGGCAAAATAAGAATGCTGATTACATCATAACAAGAACTACATTGAAAACTAAATCTTGTGGTTTTTGAAACATATATCAGAAAAGGACTGGGGATACAGGTGTCCATTCAAATGCCAGTTCTATCATTTGCCAGCAGTGTGGCCACAGGTAAATTATTTACTATCTTAATGATTTTCATAATCGCTTTTTAATCTTGCATGATACTTTGAAAAATACTAGATATTACAGTAAAGGAACATTTATTACATGTTTAACATTTGTTTAGTTTTACTTCACTTTCTCATTTTTAAAAAATGTAATACTTTTCAACAGAAATATTCTAGTTTCTCTAAACACATATGTCTTCATTTGCAAGAACAGAAAGCTGATTAGTTAATAATTTTTTTATAAATGTTAGGGTTTGGGGTAATATTTTTCTTCATTACACATTTAAGTGCTGCTTGAATTTTTTATATGTGTAAATCATGTAAATAATAAATAATATTTTAAAAGACAGAGTACATCAGTGAAGGTCTCTCTGATGAGATGAAATTTAAGAAAATATCCAAAAGAAGCAAGGAGGCAAGAGCAAAGACTCAAAGAGTGAAATACACTGGACATATCTGAGGGACTTTCAAAAAGATGGCGTGTCTACAGTAAATTCAGCAAGGCATAGAGCAGTAGAAAATGAGATCATGTAATATTTTGTAGATCCTTGTAAGGCTGTTGGCTTTTGTCCTGAGTGATATGGGAATCAACTGCAGATTTTGAACATAGGAATTACCTGGTCTGACTTACATGTTTAAAGGGTTCCTCTGATTTCTTCATAGAAGATATACTGCAGGGAGATGTACCGGGTAGAAATGAGGCAAGATGAGAAGCTATTGCAATAATCCAGGGAAGAGATACTCTCCCTTGAACTATAGGGGTAGATGTGATGGAGAAGATAGATGGTTAGATTTTGGACATATTATTTAGGGAGATTTAATGTGAAATGCTGATGGATTTAATCTTAAATTTGAGAGAAAATGGGTAAAATAACAGCAAGGATTTTGACTGGAGTAACTGGAAGAGTAATACTGCCATTTGCTGAGATGGGGAAACCTGTGAGAGGAATGAGGAAGAGGTTCAAGAAGCAGGTCAGGTGTAGTCCAAAAAGCAGAGCATCAGTGAAAGCGATGAAGGTGGAGCCCCCAAATGACACATGAGAAGAACTTAGAAAGTGAGTTCCTGGACATCAAGTGATCAGAGTTTCAGGAGGGAGGGAGTAAGCAACTGTGTCAAATGGTGCAGAAAGGTAGAGGAAGATGAGGACTGAGAGTAAGATATTGAATTTAGCAGCATGAAAATGATGGATGCCATAGACAAGAGCTGTTTTGATAGAATGGTGAGGAATAACACCTGATTGGAATAGGTACAAGAGAGAACTGAAGGAGAGGATTTGGAAACAATGAGAAAGGGGTTTGGCTGAAAGGGGTACAACATCATGGGTTAGTAGGTGAATGGAAGTTGAAGATCACAAAAAATTTTTTCTTTTGGAGAAATTATGGCATGTTTATATGCTGGTTGAAATAATTCAACGAAGAGAGAAAAATGATTTAGGAAACAAAACAAGAGTACTGCTGGGGCCCTATGTAGATGAAGGATGGCACCTAATGCTAATCAAAGGGTAGGCTTTAGGCATGGCACAGAGGGCTTACCCATAGTAATAGTGTGCAAGGGAGAAATATTTGGGTACAGTAGAATTCATGGAAGAAACACAAGTGGTCATTAGCAGAGGAGAAGATGTTCAACTTCTCTAATACCAGAAATTAAACTTTTAAAATGAGATCTATTCACATATAAGATTGACCAAAACTTAAAATGTTGATACAATTTTAAGTGATGGGTGATATTCAAGAAATAGCCCCTTTCTTGTAATTATAGTGTTAGTATAAAGCAGTAAAACCTCTTTTGGAGGGCAATGTGGCAGTATATCTCAAAATTTAAAACACACATACCCTTAGAACCAACAATTCTCTCTCTAGAAATATGTCTTAGTGAATTTACAGTGCAAGGGCAAAATAGGAAAAACTGCACAAGCATGTTCACTTTAATAATTATGGTAATATAGAAAAATGGGAACAGGCTACATGACAAAATAAGAGTGAGAAAATAACAAAATATGACACATTTCTTATAGGAATAGGGATGCAGCTGTTATAAAGACTGAGGTACAAACATAAAACCATCTCCAAAATGTCAAGAGAAAAAGAATTTGCTAATAGTAAGATCCCATGTGAAAGTGTATCCAAATTTGTTCTTCCTTGTTATTATTACTGGCAATAGAAGTGTATGAAAAAAGTGACCAACAGTGTAGTATAATGGTAAGTGACAGCGCTGATGTTCAACAGATATGGGTTTAATTTCTGTATACAGTGTGAGGCAGGTGTCCCATTTGTATCAGTACTTCGAGAGCATGTTCCTCTGGTCTTATGTGAAGGTTTTGAATGAGCCATTTTCAGCTTGGTGGGCTGCTGAAAGAAATTTAAGGACCTATCTTCTGAGAGTTTAACAAATCGACTTGTGTTCAACTCTACTTTTTATCGTACTTCTAGAAAGACTTGAAATAAACATTCTATGAACATTTTGGGACCTTCAGCACAATTTCTGCTGCCTCTTAATTTTTCCTAAATGCCATCCCGAGACTTGGCTATTTGCATCTGCTAATGAATTGTCATTCATCTTTCTGCTGTATCCATTTCCAAAAAGCTTTTGCTATGATCTCCTTTTGTATTATTTTTGTTCTTTTGATTTCATGCATTAATCTTGTTACTGTCCTTGTAAGGGACTTTTGGGAGAGGGAGTAGGTAACGAGTTAGTGAATCTGCCATCTTTTGCTTTAAACTCCCCTATCCCTACTAGGATAATGTGCCTTTTTCACCGTTAGCAGGTGAAAAATTTGAAAATATGAATTCCTCTTAGATGTGAGAAGAGAATCAGATAAAAGAGTTTCTATTCTTGAGTCAAAGTTTCAAAGATGGATCATTTTACTTATCGCCTTGGAATTACCATTATTTTTATCCTCAGGAAAGAAGTAAGAGATGTTCAAGGGTATGCAGAGCCTCAGGTGACAGAGTTACAGTTTCTTCCTCTTCTGAAACGCTTTTGAAGTTTTGTTTCTGTTAACCCGGGTGGTGCATCATATGTCGTTAATATGAGAGAGACCCTTCTAATACAGGTTGTGCTGAACCTCATGTCTTCACCAAATAAAGTCAACACAATGATAAGAAGCCACTGAAAGTTAAATCATTGTCTACTTCACTTCTAAGCTTCTGTGATTCTTCCTGAAAGAAGGTGAGGAGACTTTTATATTATTTTGGAAGCCCCACAAGAATCTGGAAACAACATTGCAAAGAAAAGGTCATTATATAGACAGTTGCACTTAAATAAGAGTAGCACCAGATTTTATATCAAGTAGAAATTGACAGAAACATTACCGTTTTTCTATTTTGTAAGCAAGTGTTTATATATATATAATCTACATATGTATAAATATGACCTATACATAATATAGAGGGAATTCCTAAAGAAATACATAAATATGACAAAAGGCTTTCTCCTTGGGTGATCTTCATTCTTCTGTTTTTCTGTATTCTTCCAAATATTCTGCAGTTAATATGCATATGTGAGTGTATTTCTGTGTATATGTTAAATCTTCGAATATATTTCTTACAGCTTGCCACATAAGGCAAATATATTACTGACCGCTGATGGGTTTATAATAATTTTTGCTGTGGTGAAACATAGAAATTGGCAATAATTCAACCAAAATTTATTGAGCATATATTATGTATCAGGCACTGTACTATGAACTGTTATAGGTACATATTTGAAATAAGACATGATTTTTGCCCACAAGAAACTAATCCTTCACTGAATTTAATATATATAGTAATAGATAATAAAAAAGGTTCAATGAACTATTTTGCAAATTGTACAGTACATGAGAATCACCTGGATAAATTATTAAAGACGCAGAGTCTGATCCCTTCCCCAGTAGCCATGTAAGTAGGAATTTACGTTTTAGTAAGCACCTCAAGATGCCTCTGATGTAGGTGATCCTTTAAAAACTACCAAAATTAATGCTAATGAGCACAGATTTAAGAGACACACATATTTGGTATGCTTTCTTGTTTCTGGCTGTTTCTAGGAATATAATTGGGAAACTTGTTTAACCTTTCATCTTCAATTTTTGCACATGCAAATATAAATAATTTGAACATGCAATATATACTTACCTACATTATAGAGATATTATGAGTAATGTAAATGACAGTCCTATGATATCCAACCCTTTTTAAAGTATATTGTTTGTGCTTTCTGGTACATAGCATGACAGCTTTTTATCAATTCTAAATAAGTGCTAGGATTGGAAAAAGGAAAGAAATGCTGGATCTACTGTACCAGGGGAACAGAAAAGCTTCATGCAGAAAAGGAATTTGGATTGGGTCTCAAATGTTGGGAAAAATTTTGATAAGCTGAAATAAGGGAGAAATGTATTCCAGTTAGCAAAACATGGTGGTGAGAAACCTAGGCATGATTGGGGATCTCTGAGCTGTGGACATGACTGGAGCAGAGAAGGCTTTAATTGTCATGGAAGACAAATATGGAGACATAGCTTGTGGGTAGATGATAAAGCATATTTAAATACATACAATTTCTAAAAAGAAAAATAAAGTAATACAAAAATCAAACTAATGAATTTTAAAGTACTCTTAAATATGACAACTTTTAAATGTAATTTGAGCAAGGAATGATTAGCGCAGTTTTAACATGTGCTGCTCATGCAGATGCGTCGAAGAGATGATAGAAGTAAGGATATCAGTTCACAGATAATGTGGACTAATTCAGATAAACAATGATGAGTGTCTGGATTTAGGCAGTGAAGAGGAAATAGAAAAAGTGAATGCATATGACGAGCATTTGTGAAAGGAAGCTAGAACTTAAAGGCAGATGAGATGTGGAAGTTGAAGAATAAGATATGTAAGTTGACCAAGAAATTTTAAGGGTCGATTAGTGGAAAGACTGTCATATCATTAAAAACAAAAAAGCAAAAAGAGAATAGTGTCAGAAGAATAATCAGAGGAAAAAAAAACCGAGGACTGACTTCAGATTTGGTTATGTTCAGTGGAGGTGCTGGCAGAATGATCAGGTAGCAATACCCAACAGGAATTTATCACTGCAGGAGTAAAGTTACAGGTGAAGAATTGGAGGAAAAACAGAATCAAAAATTATTCTCAGGATGGCCAGAATTTGAAGATACAGGAATGGATGTAACCTTTTTCTAAGCATCATCATAGCAAGGCCAAAGTATTAATTGTATTGTATGCCAGACATTGTCCTAAGCATTTGTCATACTTTAAATTATTTACGTTCACAGCAGCCTTGAGAGGAAGGTGCTGTTATTGTTACCATCTTATAAATGGAGAAAGAGAGGCCCAGAGAGAGTATTTCTATGTGTGTTGTACAGTGAGGATTCAAATCCAGACAGGCTATCTTCAAACTATGTATTTTTAGTCTCGAAACTGTGCTGTTCTCAATAGAAAGTATAGTTTGAGAAGAGATAAGTCCATGGCGAGAACTTTTAGGAATACTCATGTTAAAATCGGGCTGGAAAACACACAGAGTTGAGAGTCAGGACAAAAAGCGAGACAATCAGAAGATCAATATACAAAGAGAGGAAAGAAAAGTGCAAAGAAGCAGCTGATTGGTCATGACAAATGCTACTCACAGGACTAGGAAGATGGTCCTAATCTTTGTTTGTTTGTTTGCTTTTTACAATACAGGAAAGGTATCTGGTGATTACAAAATCGTTCAATAAAATATGACTTTAAGTTAAATCCTACCTTTCATTTCCTCCCTATTTTTCAACCTAACCATATTAAAGGTTATTTATAGCCCTTATTAAAAGCATGCAAACATGGAAATATGGCAAAATTAAATCTGCGAGAAGGCTAATCTGGCTGGATGTGTTGGATGTTGCAGTTTGCTTGGCCCACCTCTTCTCATCTGGTCTCTCTCCATTATCTCCTAACACTCTCTCTCTGCCTGTCTTTTCAGAGTTTGTTTTGTGTTGCTGGTTTTCAATTTTTCCATCATGCACTCCTTCACAATTTCTCTTTAATACCTTCATTCAGATTATGTGGAAAATCTTTAGCATAAAACAAATGTAACAAAGAAAATTGTTTCAAAAATCTTAATTAGGCTAACTTTAAAAATAACCCATATTATATATTTGTACACATTATTGTTAACGTCATCCTTGCTTATCTTTTAAGGCAGTGTTTGGCATTTACACTGATTCCACATGCCCGTTTTGACTCATGTGTGCTATGAATTTGACCCCTTGTCTGAATTCTTTTAATCCTAACATAACAAACCATTCCACTCTGCCCCTATGGGCTCAAACCAACTTCTGGCCCTGGAACAATTTTTGTGTCTAACCTGGCAGTACATTAGAATTTAAACTGCTCATCAGACTGTAGCTGGCAACAGACTAAAAGTTTTCACTGTGATGGTTGAAAGATCCCTAGTACTTATCTCCCCTTTGTTACCTCCATTTTTAACCCCTACTTTGCACACTGCCCTGATCTCACCCTAGCTCCATGCAGATTTGAAACTCATCTCTTTAACAGGATTTGATTTTTTTAAAAAACATACTCACACATAAACTTCATGAGAAAAATGTTGAAGGTTTACAGAAGCAGTTTTGGAAAGGATTATTTAATTTAAAATTCCAGGGTACATGTGCAGGTTGTGCAGGTTTGTTACATAGGTAAATGTGTGTCCTGGTGGTTTGCTGCACCTATCAACTCATCACCTAGGTATTAAGCCCAGCATGCATTAGGAGTTTTTCCTAATGCTCTCCCGCCCTCAATCCTACCCCCTGACAGGCCCCAGTGTGTGTTGTTCCCCTCCTTGTGTCCATGTGTTCTTATTGTTCAGCTGTCACTTATGAGTGAGAACATGTGGTGTATGGTTTTCTGTTCCTGTGTTAGTTTGCTGAGGATAATGGCTTCCAGCTTCATCCATGTCCCTGTAAAGGACTTGATGTGGTTCCTTTTTATGGCTGAATAGTATTCCATGGTGTATATGTACCACATTTTCTTTATCCACTGTATTATTGATGGGCATTTGGATTGACTCCATGTCTATGAAAAGGCTTTTAATTGAGCCCTGCATATTGTTTCTCCTCCTTCCCTAACTCTCCTTTCTTCTAACTATTTTTATTTTCTCTCCTTCTCAGGAGAAAAACATTCCTTTAATGTTCCTCGGGTAGAATTGGATTCATTCCTTCCTCTAAAATTTTGATCACTATCGGTGCCTTTAATATTTGAGCTTTTTTTCCCCAAAAACACTTGTCACTGCTTGCCTTTCAAGCAAATACAGCCTTCTCCCTAAGGGGCAGTTTTAGGAATAATATTTTCTCCAACTGATCACAATTGTGAGAACTGTTGCTAGGCTTTTCTAACACACACATGACTTCTGGGTGCTCTACAACTTGCCTTCAGATGGGCTGCCTTTGGTTGCCTTGCTGGAGTAGACAGTTGCTTAGATCTCTGTGTGTTTTGTCTGCTGACTCATGGTCATTCTGCATATGTCATCTGAGTACGCTCATCTGTCCTCTGACCCTCATTTGGTCACTTATCTCTGAGCGCTCCTATCTGAAATAGTTCACTCCTTTCCTTATTCCACATTCTGACACCTGGCTTTTGCCTTACCTTGTGGATCTACTTGGATTTTCAAGCTTAGGCTTTCCAGTTTCATTCGCTTTATTGCTTCCTGAATCCAAATTTTGACACCATGGGAGTATTAAATAAATGTAATCAATAACGAATGCTCACCACTCTTCCTGCTTTAGAAAGCCCATAGACTGGCACTGTATAGTGTGTCTTTCCTAGGTCATTTATACTACTGCTGTGCTAAGATGGCATCCTGGGATATGTTTGAAGGCAGTTGTCCACAATGCATGCATCACCACTAGGCTCTGATGGCATAATATATAATTTTGGAAGAAAATTCAAAGGAAATAAGAACTGGGTTAAACTTGGAGGTGGCTCTGTTTTTTATTTGTTGTTGTTTCTCTTCTTTTTTTAAAAAAATAAGTCTTTTGAAACTAATTTCTTATCTTGCCTTAATTATAGCAACCAAGAAAGTTGTGAGCACCTCATTTATGATTGAGAATATAATTATTTTATATAGGTTTTATTATGCCTCTTCCCAAGAGGACAACCTATAATCCAATAATTATATTTATTTACTCTGGGAAAGTTTTTGCAAATGGCCACCAGGAAATATGCACAAAATGCCCATAGCATAAGTTAGTGACAAAGAACTGAAAACTGCTCAAATAGTCATGTTTAGAAGAATCCTTAAATAATTTTTTTTTTTTTTTTTTTTTTTTTTTTTTTTTTTTTTTTGTGACGGAGTTTCTCTCTTACTGCCCAGGCTAGAGTGCAGTGGCATAATCTTGGCTCACTGCAACCTCTGTCTCCCAGATTCAAGTGATTCTCCTGCCTCAGCCTCCCAAGTAGCAGGGATTACAGGCATGCGCCACCATGCCAGACTAATTTTGTATTTTTAGTAGAGACGGGGTTTCACCATGTTGGTCAGGATGGTCTTGAATTCCTGACTTCAAGTGATCCACCAGCCTTGGTCTCCCAAAGTGCTGGGATTACAGGCGTGAGCCACTGCACCTGGTCCAATAAATTGTATTGTTACACAATGAAATACTGTACAGCAATAAAAATAAGCTATGGATATATGCATCTACATAGATAAACACAGAAGTACGTTAAGTAAGCAATCCCAGAAGAATATATAAAAATGACCCTGTTTTTATATGGCTCTTAAATACATAAAATGTAAAATAAAGTAAAGTAGCATGTAGGCAATTACGTTTATTTTTTCTTAGCGACTTAACCAGGGAAGAGTGGGATTTCCAGCAATTATAAGGAAGAAGAAATGGAATTGAATTGAATCAACCTTTTAACTTATAAGGCTTTATTATAGTGAGCTGTCATTCTCTGTAGCATCACAGAAGTTGGCAGCATCAGTTCTTGGGAAAACCTGAAAAATTGTTTTCTACCCCAGTAGAAGAGAATATTGACGAACACATGGCTAATTATGATTTAAGTACTTATCTCGAGAAGTTTTCTCTAGTGCATAAGGCTAAAAACCCACTGACCTAAGGACACAGTAAGGGATGAGTGATTTGAGATAGTGCAAAAATTAAAGGCGTAAGAAGGACAAGTATGTTTAAAATATCATGCAGGAAAGTGAACGAAAAATTTCTTAGTAAAACTGAAAACAAAGCATTAGTAATCAAAAGAATGTGAAACAAAACAAGTTGACAAGTTGGTCAAATTTCAAAAATTAAGCTACGCAATTTAATGCTGGATATTTACCTACACTGTTGGAACAATGTAAATTGATCAAAGCTTTAGAAAATCATTTGGCAGTATGCAGCAAAGATTTTAAAAATATTTATATCCTATGACTAGTAATTCTTTGATTTTCAACATAGATGTAATTGCAAGGTTATTACATTATTATTTATTATGTGAAAAATTAGAAAGAACTTGATTGCCCAATAATAAAATGGTAAAAGTAATGATGGTGTATGCAGGTGATAAAATATTATATAGCCTTTTTTGAAATGTCTCAAAAATATTCAAAGACATTAATATATTTGATATAAATAGAAATTGATAGTGTTAATAGGAAATTGAGTTATAATTTTAATGATGTCAACTATGTAAATATAAATGAATATATTTATGGAAAAAGTTTTCCTTCAGATAGTAACATTATTGGTGAGTTTCAATCTATTTATATTTTCAAGGTTTTACAACTTATCTAAAGTGAAGGCGGGTTTTTTTATCTTAAAAAATAAGAAAAAAACTTTTAAAAATGATATATTGCAAGCCTTAGAAAATTTTCCTTTCAACTTTTTCAGCTAAGCCTTCAGTGTAGCAGAAAGAGCACAGGCTAAGCATCAGGAGATCTAATTTTGCCACTAACTAACCAGCTTTGTTAGAAAATCTCTTTGAGCCTATGCCTTTGTCTTTAATGTGTCCAGCCTATCTCAGAGGGTTTTTAAGAGGATCAGATAGCATAATGTATTTGTACTCTCTTTAAAAGTACAAAGTACTATACTAATGCTGTTGAGACAAAGCACTCTCTTCCCAAAAAGTGATTGGAAACGCAGGAATTTTTTTCCCTGTCTTTGTCAGAATGTCACAGATTGTACTAAGGTAAAAAGTATGAATATGATTCACATGTCTTATGTTGAATGAAATGAAACTTAGTCATCAAAATAGGTGAAGTGGACAAAGAATCCAAAGATCCAAACATAAAATTACTTTAATTTCTCATAGTTAAGAAAAGTAACTAAATGTTATCACTTGGCTTAGTATTCCAGGAAAGAAGTAAGGTAAAGAGTCTAATACAGAGATCTGTCACCCAAGTGGAAATTACAATATCTAAAGGGAGAGAAAACAGAGAAGAGAAAGAAAATACTATGAACCTTACAAACTGGGCTGTACTAACTTGATGAAATAAATGCCTCAACATTCCTGCCATAAATTTTTTATGGGCGCCTGAAAATAATGGATTGGTTGGAATATGGTGGGCACAGTACAAAAAGGAAGTTGATTTTGGAGAAGCCTAAGAAGGATGGGAAAATTAAGGATGTATTGAATATGAGCTCTGAGATAAATTTGACTTCCACTCATGGGTGATACAGGAAAGATTTAATCTAACATCTTCTTGCTAATAACTCGAGGGTCTTCATTCTGTCAGTCCTGTCACAATTGAAAGCCAAGTGATTAAGAATTGGGCATGCTAATTATCATGTAGAATACAGACACTCTAATTCCTGGACAGCCCAGAAATCCCACTTCTCAAGGAAGGAAAGAACTAAAATCACAAGGCAGAATCACCGTGAATGCCCAGGAATGTCATGGTTTCAAATTGGTGGTTTCTGTAATTAGGCACATGTTCATTTTATTAGATTATGTGGAATACATTTTGGAAAAATAGTTTGCTTTTTGATTATAAAAACACAATACAAACCTATACATTAGTACTGAGTCAAGAGAAGTTGAATATAATAAATAAGATTATCCAAATGCCTTAAAACTTGTATTGTGTTGCTCAAAATCTTTTGTTACGATTTTCCTTATGGTAAACAATGAATAAGATCTTCCTCATATCTGTTAGATCTGTAACAGTAAAATTGAGAGTGCAATTGAGATACCATATGTGATAATATATTGAGCCATTTTGAAGAAAAGTAGGACTACTAGAAAGGTATTTCTTTTTTTTCTTTTTTCTTTCTCATAGTTTAATGTGTGTTTTTTAAATTATACAGTAAGTTCTAGGGTACATGTGCAGAACGTGCAGGTTTGTTACATAGGTATACTTGTGCCATGGTGGTTTGCTGGACCCACCAACCCGTCATCTACATTAGGTATTTCTCCTAATGCTATCCTTCCCCTAGCCCCCCACCCCTGAAAGGCCCCGATGTGTGATGTTCCCCTCACTGTGTCCATGTGTTCTCATTGTTCAGCTCCCACTTATGAGTGAGAACATGCTGTGTTTGGTTTTCTGTTCATGTGTTAGTTTGCTGAGAGTGATGGTTTCCATCTTCATCCATGTCCCTGCAAAGGACACGAACTCATCCTTTTTTTTCAAACGACAAGAACTCATCCTTTTTTATGGCTGCATAGTATTCCATGGTGTATATGTGCCACATTTTCTTGATCCAGTCTATCATTGATGGGCATTTGGGCTGGTTCCAAGTCTTTGGTATTGTGAACAGTGCTGCAATAAACATACGTGAGAAAGGAATTTCTGACATCTTTTATTTCTGAGAATGATTTTAACTATGTTGAACATTCCTCTGAGTGCTCAAGGATCACAGATCACATACATATCAAAGTGCACAGGTACTGTGGTATCAGGAAGAGCATAAGCACCTAGAGAATGCGTATAAATAGAGTTGGAACAGTATAATAGAAAAACATGTAACTATGAAAAATTAATTTTATTGGAGATGAGTTTCATGAGGAGTTTTTTATTTTTAAACTCAGATATTTTACCAGATCAGGTGACAATTTAGATACTGGAAGTTTTGTACTCGGTAATATCTGAAGATAATCATTACTGAAAAGAAACAATGGACTGAAAACTCAGAAAATATAGTATAAACAGTAGATTATTAAATATGAGAGAAGATTTATCTATATGATTTTTTACAGATAGTTGTAATCCAATGAAGGAATTGAATTAAATATTTCACAGTATGTCTAGTCTGGAATTAAAATCCTAAAATAAGAAGAAACATTAACAAGGGATTTGAAACTGTATATCAGTTCACAAAGAAATGTTATTAGCAATAGGAAGGACCCCTGATATTTTAAAATTTGAGTCATATTGTGACAGTATGGAAAGAATTATAAGTCTAGAATAGAAGACCTGGGGTGTGGCAATGACTTTGTCTGTTAGAAGCTGGTTAACTTTTGAAAAATTCACCTTTCTCAGCCCCAATTCCCTCCCTATGAAATGGGTGACAATAATAATTTCCCTAACAACTTTAAAAGGCTTTTTAAAATAATTATCAAATACATAAAATAAAATAATTTGTTTTAAACACATTAAACTGTAATGAGTTATACAAATGTAAAATATTGAGAAAATAGATATACATAAAACAACGGCTATATATCATATATTAACTATTCTTTGTGAATTAAGCTTTGTGGCGATAATCAATTTTAAATGTGTTATAAGAGTATACTATTTAAAGGAATTTTATGGGAAATCATTTGTGAAACTAATAACTAGATTTTCACAGACCAGATTCCTGTAAAGAATATGTAACATTTTATATCATAATAGCAACATAAATAGGTTTGAGAGTTTTACCTTTAATAAAAAATAAGAACATTGTCTACTTGGGTTTTTGACTCTCTGTACTTTGTCCAAGAAAGTCAAAATTTTGAATTTGATTTGGGGTTATTTTTGGTGAATAATTAGCTGCTAAGCTTTTTAGGATATTTAGGAACAGCATCACAAGAAAGGCCAACTAAACAGAACCCTCTGGCCCATACTGTAATTATTTAATTATTTCATTCACTTTGTTACTAATATTTATTTTATGAAGCTTATGGAGGGCGTACCTCATATTTCTCACATATTCCACTAGATTCAGAGAGAGTTATTTGCTAAATATTAATTTTAATATTGTCAGTGGTTAAATTGTTTAAAGTTGTATAATCACCCAACAACCCATTCCATTCCTCTATGTAGAGTTCATTCTGTCCCTAAATGGCTTTCTCATCTATATTTTTGTGAAAAATGTAATAGTAGAAAAGTTTAATTTTTGTATTTTCCAACATATAATTCAATCAGAAAAGTCGAATTTACCTTTTTTTGCCATGCCATTCTTCGTGTTTCTGCTTGCAACTAACTGGTAAGCTTCTTTTCTAAAAAATAATTTCAGCTTGTATTTTAGACATGTGCAGTTTGTTACATGGGTATATTGTTTTGATGGTGAGCTCTCGGGTTCCTCAAAAATTTCTTAGATGCTAATTGAAAGTGAAGATGACATATGTAAATTTCCACATAAATAAGTTAGTTGGATAATGTGTTCTAATGTTCGTGATATATCCCACATGAACAATAAATGTTTTTGCTTTAGTGAAAGTTATGTGAATACAAAATGAGTATGAAATAAATTTGCATCCACCCTCATGATTGTGCTGTGTTTTTTACATTGAATAATTGCATACAATATTATTTATGTTTATACAATTACAATGACCTAGAAAAAAAATCACTGAAATATTTGGGTCAGGAGTATTTTACTTGATTTCTGTGTAGGTTATTATGGGCTTGAATAACTTACAGAAGCAAAAAAATTTCAAATTTCCTGCAAACTGGATCATATGACCATTCAGGAAATTCTGTTGACCTCTGTTTTTGTATTCCTTTTGACATTCATTTATGGTTTGTGTTAGACCTAACAATCCATAATAACCTGGAAGTACTGTGTAAGTCTTTTGGCATCTTTCATACAAATTCCTGTTAAGGAAGAAGAGAGAATATATATGTCCCAGAGGTTACAACATTGGGAGAACATCTTATGCCAGGCTTTGCTCATGCTCAGCTCTCAGTGAATGTTGAACTGAAATAGTTTCTGACAAAAAATAACTATTAGAGACTGATAGAACAAAAGAGAAATTGGCTTGGAAAAAAAATCAAGTTTAGAGGACTACTGGCCAAGAACCATAAGAACATAAATAAAAAGATCAAAATGTGATAATAAAAATGTGATGTTCCGAAGATCCTTAGGTGACAAAAGTTTGAAAACCAATGCAGTAGATGATTATTGAAGGTCTATTTGTTTGTTTGTTTGTTTCTGTTTAGAGATTTTGGAATAAAAAAGAAGGTTCTCAGAACCACTCTTTTTTTTACTTTTTAACATAAAAATGTGTTTGTTTATGTGTATCTGCAAGTAAACATATATAATTGATTTCTACTTTAGAGAACAAGCAAAATACAACAATTGCCCTTTATATCTAAGCTGTTAGCATCTGGAGCATATGAAATGGATGTTCCACCAAGTGTCTTTCACAAGGCTGTCACCGACCTGAATGAACTAGCCAATTGGAGTTTGTCTCCTTTTCTCTTTGGTCCATTGATTTCAGCCTGGACATATTGATCCTAGACTTTTTAGATGGCTCACAAACAGCTCAGGTTAAATTAACTTGAGGACAGTGTTTGAAAATGCAAAATCACTCTCCCTTTTTCATGCCTGTTATTAAGCATTGTTTCCAGAAGATCAATCTTTTAATTATATTGACCTCCCTACTGGTGTCTTTCAGTAACAAGAAGTGTATTGTGCACTGATTGAAAAAACAAAGAGAAGACAAAAATTTCTTATGGCACATTGCCTCTGCAAAAAGATGACATCTCCAAGGTATTGAATAGAGTCTGATATTTATCAATATATATAAAGTGAGTCCTACATTTGCCATCAGAAGTTTACCTTCATGAATTCACAGTTGATAGGAAGAACTTACACTAGCAATATGCTAATATTTATTGTGTGCTGTATAACAGGAATTGTGTTAAGTATGTTAAATAAAATAAACATTGAGGTTGGATTTCTTATGGCTCTTCCGTATTTTAGAAGTGTGGAAATAGAGGTTCACTTATATTAGTTAGTTTGTCAATGGCCCTATGGAAAAATGTGGCAGAGCTATGTTAAATTACTTCTGTCTTAATCCAAAGGTAATGGTATTAGGTCTGATGCTATTCTTTTTTATGTAGTATATATTTTTTGTTTAAACAGCTTAATATACTGTCAATATTTTTACCTTTTGTATTGTGTCATTATTACTAGTAAAGAGAAGGAGGCAGGGATCATTATTACAACTTTGCAGTTGAAAAAAATTGGGACAAATAATGAGTGCCTTTGCCAAAGTACATAAGAGAGGAACAAAATTTATATATATATATATATATATATATACACACACACACACACACATACACACACACCCTCACTGTGAGTGTCTTTTTGTTTCATAGATACTACATTACAGGTGCTGAAAATTCTTTGCTGCTTCCCCCATTGTAAGGTAGAGTCTAATTCCTTCTTTTAAACCTGGGCAGGCCTTGGTGTTTTGCTTCAATAATGTAATGCAGTGGAAGTAATGTTCTGAGGCTTTATAAGAATCTTTGATAATTCTTCCCAGTGGTGACCTGGTCACTCTGGGAGAAACCAGCTGTCCTGTAGGAAGCTACTCTGAGCTCACCATTATTGTATTTCTTTATTTATTTTTCCTTTCTTTTTTTGAGAAGGAGTCTTGCTCTGTCATCCAGGCTAGAGTGCAGTGGCATGATCTCGGCTCACTGCAACATCCATCTCCCAGATTCAAGCGACTCTCCTGCCTCAGCCTCCCAAGTAGCTGGGATTACAGGTGTCCACCACCATGCTCAGTTAATTTTTGTATTTTTAGTAGAAACGGGTTTCACCATGTTGACCAAGCTGGTCTTGAACTCCTGTCCTCAGATGATCTGCCCTCCTTGGCCTCCCAAAATGCTGGGATTACAGGTGTGAGCTACTGCACTCGGCCTGAGCTCATCATTCTGTAGGAAAGTCAAAGCTAGCTATATGGGGAGGCCACAAGGATAGGAAACAATGCCTGGCTAGATTCAGCTGGTCTATCCATCTCATTCCAGGAACTAGACAAGTGAATGAGAAGCTATGTTGAGCCTCCCAGCCCTAGCAGCTGCAAGGTAGAGAGGCATTAAGGAACTCACCCAACAACCAGGACAAAAGCCCCAGGTAGATTGCCTCAAGAAAGCAATTCCAAACATATCCAGACATTGGAATCATTCTGCCTGGGCCCCTTTCAGCACAAGGGAGAGTGCCCAGTGAACCAATTGCTCCAAGGAATGCTAGAATGCAATGGTACCTTGTGATGTCTCAAGTTACATTTATCTGCCCCATAATTGAGATATTTTATTGTGGTTTTAAATATTTTGCTTCTGTGCTATGTTAATAGCACAGATTATAGTAAGGCAATATCCTGAGCCATCAAGGCCGTGTCAAAGCAAATTTGAATACTAACTCTAGGCTTTAAGTTCACTGTTTCCTAGGGAATTTTAACTTCCCAACAGATACTTCTTTTCCCATGATTCAGTCTTATCTAAATGTGGGGACTTTAAAAATTGTAAGAACCAAATGAGATGATGAACTTAGGTGTATTTTGAGAAGAGATACATGAATAAAATTTCTGATAATAGAAATTTCACATTGCACACTGTCATATCTACCAGGAGGTTTAAATACCTTAGGTACTAACAGTCTGGTTTGAGGTGTAATTTCTCTACATAACCCTGACCTCTCTCCCCTTGAATATTTTTGCTATTTCTTGGGGGTTAGATTATTCAGACATGGTGGTAGTGGTGGGAAAGGTATCTATCCAAGAGTGTCTGGGAGGTAACCCTCTCTTCAATAAAAGGTGTGAACAAAAATTCCAGGCAGACTTGATTTTACACTTCTAAGCACTTGTCATCAACCCAGAGACTTGTGAGATCACCCACAGGGTAGTATCTAGTTATAGAAGCTACAGAATATATTTATCTCTCATCCATTAAATTTCTAACCTTTGAAATGTCTAGGACCTATATTTTTCTTAGATTAGAGAAAGGGCTAAAGAGGAGCTCCATATTATACAAAAGGGAAGGAAAGAGATGTAATACCTTTTCACCTCTGTTATCTCTTTATGCTGATTCTAGTCCCACTTCAAATATAAGCTGGAATGAAATAGCAAGTTATAAAAAGCATTAATGTCACTGGAAGCAAAAAGATGGACAATGCAGAGTTTTTAAGGACATTCCTTTGAAGACTCTGACCTATATGAGTAAAATTCTAGCGTCTTTTTCTTCTTTCTGAGGGGTTTGAGTAGCAACATTTGACATACTTCTGTTACATTATTATCATCTTTCCAAAATGTTTCCTAGTCATTTATTAAAAATCTACTTGGCTTTAGCAGAAGTGAGAGCAATACTTGTAGGGCATTGAAATATTGAATCTATAATAGTTCTCTCAAAAATTGTTGATGAATGCCATGGACAGATGTGGCTAAAAACATTTTATATTAGCGGACTTTTCAAAGCTGTGTGCTAGACCTCATGTCAGTTCACTGTAGTGTTCTAAGGATTCGCAGAGGTACGAAGCATTGAGTGGGAAGTATGTAGTCAAGTAGAGTGGTGGAAGAAAGGGTGCTTTCTTGCTAAATATTTACAAGAAACAAGCAACCCCATCAAAAAGTGGTAAAGGATATGAGCAGACACTGCTCAAAAGAAGACGTTTATGCAACCAACAAACATATGAAAAATAGCTCAACATCACTGATCATCAGAGAAATGAAAATCCAAACCATGAGATACCATCTCAGGCCAGTCAGAATGGTGATTATTAAAAAGTCAGGAAACAACAGATGCTGGTGTGAGGCTGTGGAGAAATAGGAAGGCTTTTACACTGTTGATGGTAATGTAAATTAGTTCAACCATTGTGGAAGACGGTATGGTGATTCCTCAAGGATCTAGAACCAGAAGTACCATTTGACCCAGCAATCTCATTACTGGGTATATATCCAAAGGAATAGAAATTATTCTACTATAAAGACACATGCACACATATGTTTATTGAGCAATATTTACAATAGCAAAGACATGGAAGCAACCCAAATACCCATCAATGATAGACTGGATAAAGAAAATGTGGTACGTATACACCATAGAATACTATGCAGCCATGAAAAGGAATGAGATCATGTCTTTTGCAGGAACATGGATGAAGTAGAAGCCTTCATCAGCAGACTAACACAGTAACAGAAAACCAAACATCGCATGTCCTCACTGTTAAGTAGGAGTTGATCAGTGAGAACACATGGACACAGAGACAGGAACAATGCACTCCAGGGCCTGTTGCGGGGTGGAGGGTGAGGGGAGGGAACTTTGAGGATGGGTCAATAGGTGTAGCAAACCACCATGGCACACGTATACCTATGTAACAAACCAGTACATTCTGCACGTGTCCCGGCTTTTTTTTTTTAAGAAAAAGTTTAAAAAATGTAGTCTATATGTTTATTCCAATAGTGTCCATGAGCACATACTAATCCAGAATTCAAGTCACTCATAATGTGCATTGAAGATATTTCCTCAACTTTAGATATAAATTTACATTCAAGAGCTCAAAAATAAACATATCTAGTATACCCACAATTACTGATATAGGCAGACACCAGTATTTTGAATGTATCTTTTATGATGCTTGATGAGGTATATGAAAAGTCCAACCGATTTGAAAATGACTGGATTATCTCAAGGCTGTACTACAATAAAGTTAATTGGTTTACTTAAAAGCTGATCTGTTACTCTTGTACTGAGAACAATGACCAAGTTCTTTCATGTGTCCTACAAGGCCATGTAATATCTAACACACATCTCTACCTTGTATTTCAGTTTGTTTCACTCTACCCTGCTCTCCATATACCTCTACCCTAGCCTTCTTTTAGTCTGTTTAATGGTTCATTCACTATCCTGAGACAGCAAATTTCATATTATTTTGGCCTCAGTTAAGCAATATTTATCATATTAAATTTCACTACTGTAAAATTTGCTATTGCCTCTTTTCTTTTGCCACCTCAAGCTGGCAATTTAGATTAAAATGTAGAAGTAAGGTAAACCCTATATCACAGAAATATAAACCGTGTTAACATTCTCAATTGAGTGACATCAATATTGTCATGTGGTAAACTCAGTCTTGAAGACAGTCCATAAAAAGATGTTCATACTTTATTTCATGGCTACTATGAACGCTATACAATCTTCCTAAGAACTACAAAGACTGAACCCTGGAAATTGTGGCAATATTTTTTTCCTACTATTTAGTTGGGAAAATGAGTTATTTCAAGATGTAGAAAGCACTTTTCTCCTGGCAAGACAATCCACTAGTACAAATTATTCACTATATTGATATAACAATTGCTGGCATTTAATCTATCATGAATCAGTTCACTGGTCATAGAGTGGTGGTAGATCACTGTGTGATATGTATACTGTTTGTGGCATAGTAATCTCCACTGTTACAGAAGATAAATTTAAGTCAGATGTATTGAAATCTGAGTGAATGTCACCTTACAGACTTTTCCAACAGAATGTCTATGCTGGAATGCCCGATATGCTCTCTGTCTTGGTGGTTGGCTCCCAAAGTCTACTTCTTTGAGTTGCACTTTTTGTAGACACTTACATCTAGACTTTTCACTTACAGCCCTCAATCTCAGTCTCAGTTTCTTCAGGTCGTATTGTTTAGTATCTTATACTTTCAGAGATCCAAACTTTTTCCTTCAGTTCACTCCATATCATCCTACTCCTCTCAATGCCTCTCATTTTTCAGAAAATGCTGAATGTATTATATAGCTACAGTATATGGTCATATACTACGTACTATTACTATATCTATGGTAGTCAATACTGTGTGGTATTGGCTAAGGGCTAAACACATAGATTAAAACAATAGACCAGCTAATCCAGAAATAGATTCGTACAAATATACCCAACTTTTCTGACAAAAGATGTACATGCAATTCAATCAAGGAAAGATATTCTTTCAAAATGTGTTGAAACTATTGGACATCTATAGTAAAAAAAAAAAAAAAAAAACCTCAACTTAATTATCAAATCTTATTCAAAAGTTAACTCAAAATAGATCATGGATTTAAATGTAAAACATTAAAATATAAAAGTATTAGGAAAAATATATAGTAGAAAAATCGTTGGAATCTAGGGAAAGGCAAAAAGTTCTTAAGAGTTCACACCATAAACATATTCCATAAAAGGCAAAATCAATTAGACATCATCAAAAGTTATAAAATTTATTTAAAGATCTTGTCAAAAATAATGAAACGATAGGCTACAAAGTGGTGAAAATACCTGCAAACCTCATAGCCAACAAAGAACTATTATCTAGAATGTATCATAAACTCTTTTTTTCATAAACTCTTAAAATTCAATAGTAAAAGAACAATCTAATTAAAAAATGGGCAAACAAATGAAGAGGCATTTCACCAAAGATTCATATAGCAAATAAGCACATGAATAGATGTTCGATATTACTAGCCTTTAGGGAAATAGATATTTAAGCCACAATGAGATAGCAGTATATAAGTATATATGTAAAATAATGACATCAGCAAATTGCAGTGAGGATGCATAGAAACTGGATCACTTATACAGTGCTGGTAGGGGTGTAAAATGTACAGCTATTCTGGAAACGTGTGGTGTTTTCTTTAAAACTAAACAAGAACCTACCATATGGCACAGTAATTTCACCCCTGGGTATTTGTTCCATGGAAATAAAAACCTGGGTTCACACAAAAACCTGTATATAATTTTTATGGCAACTTGACTATAGCCAATAGCTGAAAACAACCCAGATTTCCTTCAATGAGTGAATGGTTAAACTGTGGTACATTCATACCGTTGGATACTATTTGGCAAAGAGAGGAACATACTATTGATCCACCCAACAACCTAGATGAATCTCCAGAAGATTATGCCAAGTGAGGAAAAAAAAAAAAGCAATCGCAAAAGATTACATTGTATGTGATTCAACTTATATAATATTCTTAAAATGACAAAATTATAAATATCGAGACCAGATCAGGGATGTGGGATGGGAAAGGGAAGTTAGTGTAACTATAATGGGTAAAATGAAGGAGGCTTGTGATGATGGAAATGTTTTCTGTCTTGACTGTATAAATGTCAGTATCCTGCTGGTGATATTACACTACAGTTTTGCAAGATGTTACCATGAGGGAGAAACTGAGTAAAGGGCACATCGAAACTCCTTGTATTGTTTTTTACAATTGAATGGAATTTACAATGATTTAAAAATAAAAAATAATTTTTAAAAACTCTAGCTATAGCATGGAATATGGATTATAAGATGATAAGACTGAAATAAGAGATGGTGAGCTAATGGAGTGAAGGGATGGGTGTGGTTTAGGACTGGGAGGTTGGCACACTACACTTAGCACAAGCTATTTGTAACTGCTGCTAATAATCTCTCAGATTTGTTTGTTTTCCTCACAAATTAAATTTCCTAAGGAGTAGATGTTTTGCAATGAATGTGAAAACTTTATATATCCTATTGTTTTAAAAACTCTAATCTTATTTGACATGCATGGATGAGAGCTTTGAATTATATTGTACAGAAAAGAATCAGGTTTTGATGTGAGTAAATATCCTCATTTTACCTGTTAATAAGCATTTTCTACATTATGCTTTCATTAGGCAAATGTAGTATAAATTTAGTGGGATGGAAAAGCATATGTGTGTGTGTCTTTGTATATATGTGTGTGTATATATATGTGTGTGTGTATATATACACATACACACTACATTACATAACACAACATAGACAACCACACCTTACCCACACACCCACCCCCTCCAATCTTATAAGCAAGTCTCTTTGTACTATAGGGGAAGAGCAGTTCTATCTTGCACCATCAGATTTTGGCTAACTGCCCTCAGACCCAAGCAATAGAATATCTAACGCCTAAATATTCCAGTTCATTTCATTAGTGTGCAATGAGAGACGAAATGAGCATCTGGAAATTGCAGCTCTCTCTGAAAGGCATAATTTTCTATTAATTTTAGATGAGAGCTTACTGGCTCTCGAGTAAAATACACTGCTGAATTCTTTCAACCTAAAGAAAAATAAAGGCAGACTTTAACATTTGGGGGAAGATGGTAGAGATGATTTAGATAACTACATATTCTTGGATAATTTCATACATATTCTGACCTGAAAGTGATGGAAAAGAAAACATAAAATATCACATCATTTATAATGGAGAGAGCTAAATATCACTGCATGTATTTTGTATTGTATTTTCTCCCTCTGCTGGCCAAGTGGCTACATCAACATTAAATAAAAAAGATTTTTTTTTTCTCTGCACTGTATAATGTGGCTCTAAAACTAGAAATATCTATTGAGAGAAAATGTCATAAAATTTCTTGTATATTGTTTTCACCTTTAGTGCCCTCAAGCATTCTCTACACTCTCCCCTAAAAATAGAAATAAATAAATAAACATTTTATCCTTAGCAAAGACCTATATTAGCAATGTCTACCTTGGTGTGATTTTAAGCCAATATGCTCCCTGGAAGACTCAATTCAATTTCACATTTATTGGGTCTACATGTGTCAGGTGTTCTAGGTGCTGGGCACATAAAAATGAATAAAGCAGTGTCCTTCTCCATCCCTCAGGAATACATACCCTGGCAAAGAAGGGAGGTCCATAAACAGTTAAAATTCAACATAAATGCTGAAAGAAAGAATTGTATAAAGTGCCAGCGAACTTCAGATGAAGAAAGAATTGGTAGACTGAAGAGTCAGGGAGAGCTACAGGAAAACAAAGAGACAGACAATTGAGATTTGAAGCTTCAAGTATTTTGCCCTATGTTCTACACTGGGGAGGGTCTTTGGGGATAATAAAACATAGCCAAAGGTATGCAATGGTGAAATTTTATTTTGGGGTAACGATGACCAGGCACATAACATAGATTTAGAATTTGTGGGTGAAGTGGCTGGAGCAGAGGCTGGGAAGGCAGTTTTAGAACAGAAATGTAAGAGCCTAGATAGACACTCTAAGGAGTTGAAACCCTGCCTTGCAGCAAACAAGAGACCACAATTATTTTTAAGCAAGTGCTTTACAGGATTATCTTAGTATATTTGCATTTGTGGCTTGATTTTTTTCATTGTGAAAAGAATTTACAGTTTCAGTAAGAAGGGACAGACTTTTTAAAAGAGGTTCTTTCTTAAACCACTGCTAATCATAGGAGGTAGGAAGCTGGGACTATGTGTGTATTTAAGGCTGAGATGCAGGTCTTGGCTGCTCCCTCCGTTTATTTACATTCACTCTTTGATGACCTAAGGAAATGAATTCATGTGAACTTGACAGCAGAAGTGAGGGAGATGGAAGGCATAATTTCTCATAGTAATTCTACAAATGCCTGATGTATAAATAAATATTATAAAATTGGAAGTATGTTATTTCTAATGTGCTAAAGGACAGTTTCAGATTGGTCGATGCATAAGTTGCATTTTACTTTGGACTGCAGCACCTCAATTTGCTTCAGAAGTTGCACCTTTTATTCTATGTTGTATTAAAAAATTAAATCTATAACATGCAGATGGAAATGAAGGCAAAACATTAAGTTGCTGGTAAATTAATGTTCTATTTCTGAACATGGACTCAAGGTCACTGAGGGTCCTGGGAAGTCTTTTGTTTGTTTTGTACCCCTGCAGAAGCAAGAACATGTTATATCCCAAAATGTGAAGATATTATTTTATTTTGTTCCAGATGATTATACCCCTTCCTCCTCTCTCCCTGTCCTTCCCCGACTCCCCTGACAATGGTCTGGTACTGGTCTGTAGCCTGTTAGGAAATGAGCTGCACAGCAGGAGGTGAGGAGCAGGTAAGTGAGCATTACTGCTGAGCTCCACCTCCTGTCAAATCAGTAGTGGCATTAGATTCTCATAGGAACGCAAACCATATTGTGAACTGTGCATGCAAGGGATCTAGATTGCATGCTCCTTAAGAGATTCTAATGCCTGATTATCTGAGGTGGAACAGTTTCATCCCAAAACCATCCCCCCATCCCACCTCAACCATGGAAAAGTTATATTCCAGGAAACTGAAACCAGTCCCTGGTGTCAGAAAGGTTGCTGACCACTGCTGTGCTGCTGTAAAGGGCATGATTTTGTTTTGGTTTTATGGCTGCATACTATTCCATGGTATAATGTATGTACCATACTTTCTTTATCCAATCCACTGCTGATGGGCACCTGAGTTGATTCCTTGTCTTTGCTATTGTTGATAGTGCTTTGGTAAATGTACAAGTTCAGGTGTCTTTTTGGTAGAATGATTTATTTTCCTTTGGATATATACCTAGTAATGGGATTGCTGGGTTGAATGGTAATTCAACTTTCAGTTCTTTGAGAATTCTCCAAAGTGCTTTCCACAGGGGCTGAACCAATTCACATTCCCATCCACAGTGTATAAGCATTCCCTTTTCTCGACAACCTCACCAACATGTTATTTTTTGACTTTTTAATAGCCATTTTAACTGGTGTGAAATGGTATCATGTTGTGATTTTGATTTATCTAATGATTAGTGATGCTGAAAATTTTTCTTCCTGTTTCTTGGCCATGTGTATGTCATCTCTTGGTAAGTGTATTCGTGTCCTTTGCCCACTTTTTAATGAGGTTGTTTTTTTCTTGTTGATTTGTTTGAGTTCCTTCTAGATTCCAGATATTAGTCCTTTGCCAGATGCATAGTTTGTGAGTATTTTCTCCCATTCTGTTTTTTGTCTGCTTACTCTGTTGACAGTTTCTTTTGCTGTGCCGAAGCTCTTTAGTTTAATTAGGTCTCAATTGTCAATTTTTGGTTTTGTTGCATTTGCTTTTAAGGACTTGCTCGTAACTTCTTTGCCTAGGCCAATGTCCAGAAAGGCATTTCCTAGGTCATCTTCTAGGATTTTTATAATATGAGATCTTACAGTTAAGTATTTAATCCATCTTGAGTTAATTTTTGTATTTGGTAAGACGTAGCTGTCCAGTTTCATTCTTCTGCATATGGTTAGCCATTTATCCCAGCACCACTTATTGAATAGGGTATCCTCTCCCCATTGTTTTATTTTTGTCAAGCTTGTTGAAGATCAGTTGGTTGTAGGTATGCAGCTTTATTCCAAGGGTCTTCATTCTGAAGTATTGGTCTATGTGTCTATGTACTAGTCCACGTACTAGTACCATGCTCTTTTGGTTACTGTAGCCTTGTAGTACAGTTTGAAGGTGGGTAATGAGATGCTTCTGGCTTTCTTCTTCTTGACGAGGATTGCTTTGGCTATGCAGGCCCTTTTTTGGTTCCATATGAATTACAGGATAGTTGCTTTTTATTCTGTGAAAAATTACCTTGGCAATTTAATAGAAAAAGCATTTCATCTATAAATTGTTTTGTGCTGTGTATTAGTACATTTTCACTCTGCCATAAAGAATACCTAAGACTGGGTAATTTATGAAGGAAAGAGCTTTAATTGACTCACAGTTCCTCATGGCTGGGGAGGCCTTGGGAAACTTACAATCATGGCTGAAGGGGAAGCACACACCTTCTTCACAAGGCAGCCGGGGAGAGAGAGAACAAAGGGAAAAGAGCCACTTATAAAACCATCAGATCTCATGAGAACTCACTATCATGAGAACAGCTTGGGGGAAACCACCCTCATGATCCAATCACCTCCCACCAGATCGCTCCCTCAACACATGGGAATTACAATTCCAGGTGAGATTTGGGTGGGGAGACAAAGCCAAACCATATCAGGCAATATGGCTATTTTAACAATATTGATTCTTCCAATCCATGAGCATGGAATGTTATTCTATTTATTTGTATTGCCTGTGATTTCTTTCAGCAGTGTTTTGTAGTTCTCCTAATAATGACAAGATTATTTAAAATGGTAAAGTTATGCTTATTTTAATGCCTGAAATTGGGCATTAAACTACTAAAATAATAAAAGTGGCTGAACTTAATTTTTATTGAACATGTCTGTGTTTTGGTTTTGAGTGGAAATATTTGGATGGGTAAAAATTTAAAATATAAATAATAAATTAGTACATCTTTATTACATTTACTTTTCTGCCTTTTAGCGAAATGACTGATTTTGTTGGAATAATCAAGATTTTCACATAATTTTCATTCTAACAAGACAATGATATAAAAGATAAAAACTGACATGTGAGGCCGGGCGCGGTGGCTCACACCTGTAATCCCAGCACTTTGGGAGGCTGAGATGGGTGGATCACGAGGTCAGGAGATCGAGACCATCCTGGCTAACAAGGTGAAACCCCATCTCTACTAAAAATACAAAAAATTAGCTGAGCGTGTTGGGGGGCGCCTGAAGTCCCAGCTATTAGGGAGGCTGAGGCAGGAGAATGGCGTGAACCCGGGAGGCGGAGCTTGCAGTGAGTCGAGATCGTGCCACTACACTCCGGCCTGGTAGACAGAGCGAGACTCTGTCTCAAAAAAAAAAAATACTGACGTGATCAGTGTAGAAAGTTTAAAAGTTTTCAGCAATAATATAAAAGATGGAAAATTTTAAAATTTTTGTATGTGCTTTAAATTTTTTTCTGATATTCAACATTTTCTATTAAAGTCAAAATGCATTATACAAATTATGATTAATTAATATAAAGATTTTAATCACATGTTGAGGAGGATGGGATTTTTATTTAATTTTTTGAAGTAATTGAACCTTAAGTTACTTTTATGGGGTACAACATGATATTTCAATATATATAAATTGTGAAATTATTAAATCAAATTAATTAACGTATCCATATCTCACATACTTACCTTTTGTGTGTGTGGTAAGAATATTGAATATCTAGTTTCTTAGCAATTTGCAAGTATACATTACTAACTAATGTCACCATGCTGTACAATAGATCTCCAGAACTTACTCATTCTGTCTAATTGAAACCGTACTTTTTACCCCCATCTTTCCATTCCTGCTAACCCCCTGCTCCCAACAACTACCCTTCTGCTTTCAGCTTCTATTAGTTTCATATCTAAAAATTACATATTATTTGTCTTTCTATGCCTGGCTTATCTCACTTAGCATAAATTCACCCAGGTTTATTCATGTCATCACAAGTGACAGGATTTCTTTCTTTTTTAAAGGCTGAATAGTACTCATTTGTGTATAAGTGCCACATTTTCTTTACTCATTCGTCCCTTGATGGGCACTCAGGTTGATTCCGCGTCTTCGTTATTGTGAATAGTGCTGCAATGAACATGGGAATGCAGATTATCTTTTTGACTTATTGATATTACATCTTTTGAATAAATACACAAAAGTAGCATTGCCAGATCATATGGTAGTTCTATTTTTAATTGTTAAGGAAACCTCCATACTGTTTTTCACAATGGTCCTGCTAACTTACATTCCCATAAAAAATGAATAAGGTTCCATTTGCTCTACAACTAACCTTATTAACTTTTAAGATACAAACAACAAGATTTGTAATTCTAGGGTTCAATGTCCAATTAATTGAGAATGGAAAAAAATAGCGTTAGGCTTGTGCTTATATTTTGCTAACCCACATATATACAAATTTGAGTAGTGTGATTTATTTAATATTGACAAATCGTTCTCAGCCTCCATTGTAACTTTTAGGAATAGCACTCTAATACATGAGTATTCAGAACCACCAATTCGAGTGCCCCGAAAAGGAGCAGGGAAATGGATACTTGGCACTGCTGGGAAAAAATACTTTGTTAAACAAGAATCTCTTCCCTTTGTGCCATCTAAGAGGATGCATTTGACAAGTTAATTAATTTGATTTTTTTTTTGTTAAACTAAGCACTTTCAGTCTGTACTGTAGGCAGCAGCATAACCCATAAACCTTCATGACATTTGGATGCAGCTGTCTTTTTTCGCCCTGAATAGTGTTAGTTATAAGGATTAATATTGGGGATTTTATATTGAGCTCTGTTAGCCTTGAGCACAAGATGCCGATGGTAGGTGTCCCCCTGTGTCTTTAATGAATTTTTCTGAATATGTGTTTATAATATGCAGGCCATCTAAAGCACAGGGCTCAACTAAGCAGCATCTCTAGCCAGCTCTAAAGGTACGACTACTGGCATGGTTCAGGGGAGTCTTGTGTAATTTATGTTTTGATTCTACATCATTTTCATTCAGATTTTCCTCAATTCCGTACTAGCTACACATATTTTCAAGTGCGTGAGATTTTGGAATTGTTTCCTGAGTCAACTTTTTTGGCATAGTTTTCTCCCCTCCTATTCTTAGTTGGATGGGAAATACAAAGTGGAGCAGAGGTCACTGTGCAAAGTACATAATACCGCAGGGTAAGGAATTTTTACATGGTGTAACTATTTTTATGTATACTTATAAACTATAGTGTTTCAAATAATGCCATTATGAGTTAGAATGACTTTTGAATAAATTTGTTGTTTGAAAATGGGACATTTTATAAGAGTGAGTCTTCACTGAGGCTGAAGGCCGTCAGAAAAGACATATAAAAAGGTGCATCTTTGGAATTAAGCAATGAGAGGCAATTGGAAAAATCAGTACAAGGTCACAGAAAATTAACACTGAGAAATGACATTCAGGGAAATTAATGTCTGAGATCTGGTGGTCAGTCAGAGGACAGGAACCTCCACAATTAAGTAGAGAATTATATTTGGGGTAAAAGGGAATGTTTGTGAATTTGTCATACACATCACCCAGAGAAAATGCTATTATGTTTATGATGGCAGAAACTGCCATACTTAGGAGTTACTTTCTGCTCTTTTGCAGATGAAGTTTGAGCCAGTGACTGACAGTGCTGAAATTATTAAACACAAAACCCAAAATTTGTTATAACTAGAAGAGGCATGGGAAGCTATACAATCTATTTCCTTCAGTTCACACGTTAGGCATTTCTCCTTTAATAGGGTTTTTTGTTTTTCTTTTTTCTTATTTTAATCAATACATATTATCTATACATATTTATGAGGCACATGTGATTTTGATACATGCATACAATGTGCAACAATCAGATCAGGGTATTTAAGACATCCATCACCTCGAACATTTATCATTTCATTGTGTAGGGAACATTTCAAATCCTCTCTTCTAGCTATTTTGAAATATGCAGTATATGGTTGTTAACTGTAGTCACCCTACTGTGCTGTTGAAGACTGGAACTTATTTCTTACTCCTAACTGTGTGTTTGTACCCATCAACCTCTTTTCATCCCCCTCTCACCCTTCACAGCCTCTGATAACTATCATTCTACTCTAATAGGCTTGAATTGATTACTTCTGAGTTTATTTAATAGATGTGTATTATTTTTGTAAATTTTACCTTCGTAATTCTCAGTGAGTCAGGAACAGTTATTTTAACTGTGCTTCTGTGTTAGCAAATAGTAAAGGGTTTTATTTTTATAAACTAAATATCTCAATTCCAAATTTGTGTTATCTCTAAATCTTATGTATCTGTTGAAGGTTATTCTGTTTTTCATCTTTGTTTTAAAAATAATTGATACTTGCTGTCTCCTAGGGGCAGTAAAATCTCAGGATGCAGAAAACACTCCACAGCTGAGATAGGAAAAGCTAGTTAAAAATTGCTCTGAAGTCTTTAAAATAATAAATGGCAACAAATATGTTTATAAGGAAATTGAGAAGGGAAATTTTGTTAAAGCCGCAGAGTTGGTTGAAATTTTAGCAGAGATATCTGATATCCCAAGTAATGAAAGAGAAGATAAAGAACATAAATAACATGTCAAAGTATTATTTTATCAAAAATTCAGTGACAGTTTGATAAATAAACATTGTGGCAGTAACGTTTTATGAAACAAAGTTATAGCTTGGGTAAAAACCTCAGGAAATGTCTCATTGTCTTTCCTGGTGTCTTGGGTGAAGCAAGAACTGACGATGGTTTTATTTTTATTTTGTATTTATTTGTTTGTTTGTTTATTTATTTATTTCGAGATGAAGTCTTGCTCCGTTGCCCAGGCTGGAGTGCAGTGGCACGATCTCGGCTCACTGCAACCTCCACCTCCCTGGGTGCAAGCAATTCTCCTGTTTCAGCTTCCCGAGTAGCTGGGACTACAGGCACTTGCCACCATGCCTGCCTAATTTTTGTATTTTTAGTAGAGATGGGGTTTCACCTTGTTGGTCAGGCTGGTCTCGAACTCCTGACCTCAGGTGATCCACCCGCCTCGGCCTCCCAAAGTGCTGGGATTACAGGTGTGAGCCACACCGACCGGCCTCCTGTTGTTTTTAATCTCAGTGTGACATCACCATTTGTCCAATTGCTCAGTCTACCCAGAAACTCTATAGTTACTTTAATCTCCTTTTCCCCATATCCATAACCAAGCAGTTGTTCTGGTAATTGTTAAATAGCTCCCTAATCCACTAGTATGTCTTGACTTTCTCTACTTCTACCTTAATTCAGGTGCCATCACTCATTATTAATCAAGATTTATCCAGGACCTACTTTGTGGCAAGCATCATATTAGGCAGTGGGCATGCAAAGATGCATAAATCACAGCCCCTGCACGTGACAGTCCTAACCTCTCCATCTCTCTGATTTAAAACAAAATATATTTAAAATATAGATGAGAAGGAAAGGAGGAAATTGTATGATATTTGTGGGATTGCTGTTGATTTCCCAAAGGCTTATTGAGACAGCATGCTAATTAGTTTTATTATCTCTAGAGTCTCTCACTTCAAGACATTCCTCAGACTATAATGGGGTTCCTATGCAAGATGCAGACCTCTTCAGGGAAACTTCCTAAAATTCTTCAATGGGTCCCTATGTAATGAATAAATAACTGGGTTGGTGCAAAAGTAATTGCAGTTTTGGCCATTACATTTAATACTGAGCAAGATGACATGAAGCTTTCCAGGGTCTTGTCAGGTTTTCTTCTCTGTCCTTAACTCTAATACCACTACTATGCACCTTCAACTCTTACAGATTCCACTCTAATAATATGCAACTATCTCAAATTTCTCACATTTTCCATGCTTCCTCCTTGGCACACATTGTTTTCTCTTCTCAAAAGCCCATTCCTTGTCCCTTCCTGCGGACTCTGTATGACCCACTTTAGTTTATCTCCTCTGAACCCTTTCTCTGTCCCTTCTCACATGCTGAAAAGGATGGTCACCTTCTCTTCTGAGCTTACTTGTCACATCTAAGATAATTAATTACTTTTTGCCTATTTCACTCACCCACTTGGCAAATATTTTATTCATTTAAAAAAATTCCAGAATTTGGGATAACACCTAGAACATAATAGACCCTTAATACAAATTGCAGCAATAATAACACTCAAATTCATATAGAAATTTTGAACACATTTCAATCTCATTCTTATTTTAAAAAGCCTATTTTTTACATGTAATATTTTTGTTGAGCTATATACTTATTATGCGTGTTATTTGTTAATGTTTTTAAATTTAGCTATAATTTTGATATCTAACATTTTATGTCATCTATTAAATCTTGACAAGTATATCCAATTTAATGAGCTAAAGTTGAAATATAATAAATCTAGCATGTATTTTAGATATTAGGACATTAATGCAGTCTTATTATAAGCTCTACCACAGGAAAATCTAAGAAATTAGTACAGGCAATGTAAGAATGCCAAACAAGGCATTCTCTTTGGTAGAAGGAAACCAGAATAAGTGAGAAATTGCCCAAAAAGAAAAGGGCAGGGTTGATGCTTACATTTATTGCTATCCTTGAACTCCTCACAAGTAATGTGAAGGGGACATGCATGAAATTGTTTCTCTAACCTACTTAATCATATTTCTTATAAATATCAAAGTCCTAACCTTGATGTAAAACAAATAAGCTTGCAAACTGAGATATAGGTACTAGATACAGATCACTGACACAATATCAGCCAGTCTAGTCAGGGGATAGAAAACACACCAGTGATTTAAATAGAGAAAATCTAATATGAAAAATTTAATATAAAAAAGAATTAACTAGGCATAAAATTATTAAGTAGGTAACCAATGGGGAAAAAGAAAATAAAGCAAATAAAAAACCCCCCAAGTTATCAGAAAATTGCTACCATCACTAGAGAATAGAGGAACAAGCTCAGAGTAATATAAAACATAGGAATTTAGAGAAGGGATGCCTGAGACTGGGGCCCAGACCTCTTTGCATTCACTTGCATCTATGGGAAGAACTGTTGCTGCTGGGATAAAGAAGTGCTTGCTGGCATGACCGCAACTAGAACAGCAATCAGGGAGGATAAAGGCAGGAAAGACTGTCTTTCTCATTCCTCCAACCTTGCAGGCTCACTCTATCACCCCAGTTGAACGCCTAACAGGAAGCTAGATGGAAAAACACACATGTGTTTGCAGAGTCCCAGGCCAGCATCAGGAAACTGGGTTTAGAAATGTGGGCTTGGGCCAAGAGTGGTGGCTCACACCTGTAATCCTAGCACCTTGGAAAGCTGAGATGGAAGGATCACTTGAGTCCAGGAGTTTGAGAGCAGCCTAGGCAATATAGCGAGACCCCCATCTCTACAAAACATAAAAAATTAGGTGGGCATGATGATGCATACCTGAAGTCCCAGCTACTGAGGAGGTTGAGCCAGGAGGATTGCTTGATCCCAGGAGTGTGAGGCTACAGTGAGCTATGATCATGCCACTGCACTCCAGCCTGAGTGACAGAGTAAGACCCTGTCTCAAAAAAAAAAAAAAAAAAAAAAAAAGGGTGGATTTGGAGAGGAGAGGTAATAGCCTAATAACCAGCCTGCATGCTTTGATGAAACTGGTGGTAGAACAAATGTGTTATGGAATTAATATATGTTAATGTGCCTCAGAGCTCTTGCACTCTGCTAGCTTCTTTCTGTCCAGTGGCTGCCAAGTGGCTGCCCTCACCTACCCACAGCCAACAGGATGCCTCTGCTGTGCAGCCCAGGCTTGAGTCTGAACATTGCGTTCATACTACACTGTACTGACAGCCAGCTGTCTAGAACATGCCAGCCTAACACAAACCAAGCACTTCTCATGGTTCTTGGATAAAGAAATAATCTGGCTAGTGGAGCCAGAAAAGTGACTGTAAGAGCTAAATCAGTCATGGGTTGTTAATTTAGGGTTGAATGATTTCTGAATTAATGAAAATAAAGGGAAAAACTAACATAATAAACTATTATCAAACATGTTCCTGTCCTGAAGAAATATTAACATTAGCAATAATTTTCATCTTCTCCTAGAGATGGAAAAGGGGAAGAGGGACATACACACTTAAGTCTTCAAAAAAAGATTAAATCCCATACTAGCAAAATCAGATAGTGGATGGATAATCCACAAATGGGAAGGAAAAGCAGGCTTTTAAACTCCATTTCAATTGAATCACTTTTTTAAAAAAAATCACTGTTCTTCTCCATCTTTATATATTTATTTGTTATTTGAGAGTAAGACGTCACCCAGCTAAGAATCAAATCAATACCTGTCTTACAAAACAACTTAACCTTGAGTACTGCTAATGTTTCTACAAGCCTCCTTTAAGCTAGTTAAAACTGCCATGCAGTCATGAAAATTAATACAAGCTCACTATCATTGAGACATGAAGAAGGCATAATAAGCCTAAAGAAATCGGATAAATGATATCACACTCATGCTTGTAAACATTCAGTAAAAGTCATTTAAAGATTTTTACTATCTGATTGCAACTTAACCTTCCAGTTTCATCTTATACCACTTTTCCAAGGTCTTCTATACACTAACACCCTGAATTACTCGATGTATTACGATTGAAATGCAGTATGTTCTTGTTTTTCCCTATGACCAGAAGGCCTTTCCATCCCTCCTCCCTCCTGCTTGGTGAAATCCTTTTAAATCTTCATCATTACTCCCCTGACATTATTTTCTCCTTCACTCTTTGGTGAGACTCATGTAGCATTAATTTCTTCGTAATTATTACATTTCTGAAATGTAAGATGTCATTGATTGTAACATGCCCCATTACTTTGTATACCACTATGAAAGAGAAATGCTTCACATTGAACTAGGATCGATTTTATGGAGCATCTTGATTTAAGAGGTGGTAAGAATGTAAATAAAATGTGTATTTTAAAATGTGGTAGTTGTATACGGAACTGTCTTTCTTGCTAGATTGCTCAGTTGTGAGCTCCATGGCAGCAAGAAACAGGACTCAATCCTATTTTGTCTCTAACATCAAGAATACTATTGAACTCATAGCAGATCCTTCAATAAATATTTGTCAAAACTAGGATGGAAATAAAACTATTAGCAACACCTATTTAGCCTTGGCTTTGTTCTATGATGACAGCTGATAACGTGCATGGTCCAAATAAGTGATAATTATAAGACCCAAACTTTTCCTGCAAACCTTAAAAAAATAGTTGTATTTGCAGGATGACTAGGCAGTTATACATGTAGCTTAATTTTAATAGAAATGGGAAGGCCTATCATCCCCAATCAGCCATTTGCTATTTATCATTGCCTGAAAATCCCACCCTTAGGAATTCCTTCCCTTGTAACACAATGTACAGTTTCCTGAGGGGAAATCTCATTAAGCTTTATCAGACAGCATCACTATTTGAAATAGTTCACCAGGTTCCTCTCCAGCAACAACAACAAAAAAACCAACTTAATTCTGATAAAATAGAGTCCTTCAAATTTATTTTTAGTATTTCCCAAGAAAGGCAGATTTGGAGAAGAGGTTTGAGAGATAAGGACAAGAAGACACTGGCTTCAGCAGCAGCTCAAGAGGTAGAAGTGGAGACTGGCAAGACAGCAGGAGACAAAATGCAACTTCGATAAGAAACTGTCCTTGGCCAGAATGCTACCTTTCTAAGAAATAATATTTTTATTTCTCTTCTTTTCTACTCTATGGCCCTTTTCATTATTTCTGTTAATCGCTTCTATTCTGTCCTCTTGTCATTTACAACACTTATTTACTTTGTTTTAATGCATATTGCTCCATGACATTCATTTAGAACTTACCTTTTCAATGCTTTTCCTCTCCTTTCTCGGTCACCATTTCTCAAGCTTCTGAATGTTTTCTACTTTCCTTCATGTTAGTCTCCTAGTTTAAGAACTCTTACCTGAGAATTAAGTGCATGACAATTTGATAATGCACATATCTCTGGAATTTTTTTAGCTTTTTCGTCATCCTGAGCCCCACTGTTAGTGTTCTCTGCATCAACTTGAACTCCACTGGCTCTGTTTTCAGTGACATGGGGAGCAACCTCTCAAGTCAAACTATGTCTTCTGGGAAAAAATGTGGACTTTCCCTTTTTTATTCCACATATATATTCTTTTCTATTTTTTTCTTTTAGTCGTTACAGCTATGACTAAGCTATTGGACTAAATATGCCCTTTGATGTCATGTAATTGGCTTAAAATATTGTTTCTGCACCTGTGCATTTTGTTTCTCCTCTCCATATTTAAAGCATTCACATTAAAAATACCCTGTTGTTTACCTTTGGCAGCCCTATGTATCAGCTTAAACCTCTCTATTTAGGGAAAAGGCTCCCCGCAGATGTCTCAGACACAGCCAGTGGAATGCACCCATCAATATCAAGAATTAACACCTTGCGTTACATGACACTTCAAACTTTTTCTTAGTGCTTTTACTTATAGTTTTTATTTTCACCTCATTCTTGTGTAGCTGAAAATTATGACATTGCTAGTGCCTTTTTAGTCATTCATTTTTGTCTTTTCTGGCAGTCATTCCATTTCTGAATAGCATTCATGTAGTTTTTATCACTATAATTCTGCATAATCAAACCAGCAATTTGGTGAATTTTTTTTATGAACTATATTTCTTTCAAAACATCCTTTATTATCCCACGTCTAAAACTTCTATTTAATCTTCAGAAGTTGAATTACTGCCAACATGTCTTTCAGAGTTATCCCCAGTAATTTTATAATGATAGTTCTCCCAATGTGATCACTAGGTAAACACTCTGTGACTTCTTTCCTTTAATACGTCTCTTGACAAGGCACCGTCATCCTTTGGAAGATTATTAAGTGTCTTTTTCTGCTGTCTTCCTCTATGAGGCTGTTTCTGTTCACCTCTCCCCAGCCCCAAGTCTGACATTTCTCTTATTGAATCTTTGGGAATCAACAACAGCTATCATTCAAATACTGGGAAGTCTTTTTTTTTTTTTTTTTTTTTGAGACGGACTCTTGCTCTGTGGCCCAGGCTGGAGTGCAGTGGTGCAATTTCAGCTCACTGTAGCCTCCGTCTCATGGGTTCAAGTGTTTCTCTTGCCTCAGCCTGCCGAGTAGCTGGGACTACAGGCGCACGCCACCGTGCCTGGCTAATTTTTTTTTTGTTTTTTTTTTGTATTTTAGTACAGATGGGATTTCACTATGTTGGCCAGTCTGTTCTCGAACTCCTGACCTGGTGATCCATTTGCCTTGTCTTCCCAAAGGGCTGGGATTACAGGGATGAGCCACTATGCCTGGCCCATTTTAAAGCCTTTAATACGTCTCTTGACAAGTCACCATCATCCTTTGGAAAATTATTAAGTTTCTTTTTCTGCTGTCTTCCTCTATGAGGCTGCTTCTGTTCACCTCTGCCCAGCCCCAAGTCTGACATTTCTCTTATTGAATCTTTGGGAATCAACAACAGCTATCATTCAAATATTGGGAAGTCTTTTAAACATTTCTCACTTTATTTTTTTTTCTGTAACTTGTTTTCTCCCCTTCTTGGGTATTAACTATTCACTCTCTCCCCTAGGCAGAGTTCTAGCGTGGCTCCCAAGATTCTTTCCCCTGTTGTACATACCCTGTACAATCTTCTCCCCTTGAATTCGGTATACCTGTGACTATGTGGGATATGATTTAGTGATGTGGCTAAGTAATGGCAAAGGGGATTTTGTTGATATAATTATAGTCTAATCAAAAGGGAGATTGGCTAGGTGTACCTCATCAAACAGATAAGCTCTTAAAAGAACAAGTGGCCAGGAGCAGTGGCTCACACTTTTAATCCCAGCACTTTGGATGACCAGGTGGGAGGATTACTTGAGGCCAGAAGTCCCAGCCGGGAATGAGCTGTGATCCCCCCATCACTGCACTCCAGTTTGGGTGACAGAGTGAAACCGTGTCTCAAAAATTAAAAAAAAAAAAAAAAAAAAAAGTAAAGAAACAAGAAGCCGCAGCAGATGATCTCCTGCTGACCTTGGAGACACAACATGCTATGTTGTGGGAAAGGCCATATGGTAGAAACTTGAGGCAGCTTCAAAGAGATGAGTGACCCCTCCACTGACAGTCAGCAAGAACACTGGACCTCAGTCCTACAAACCTGAGGAACTGAATTCTGCCAACAACCAAGGAGCTAGGAAAAGGACCCTGAACTCCGGATGAGAAGTCAGTCTGGCTCACACTTTCATTTAAGCCTTGTAAAATTCTGCACAGAGAACCTAGCTATAGGGTACCTAGAATTCTGACCTGCAGAACCTAAGTTGGTGATAGTTTGTTTCCAAATAATGGAAATAGCGAACAAACAAAAAGTATTCTTTTCTTCTCCTTTTGGTGACTCATCTCTTCTGGTGACTATAATTCCTACTCATTGTCTTAACTACAATCTCTTGAGAGCAAAATGCCTCGAGCCCTACCGGTATTTGTCCTCTCTGTTGAGTGGGTTTGTTTTTCTCTACTCCAATATTCCGACCTTCTGACTTTACTTGGTCTATTTGCTCTTCCTCTCCTGGAGATTTTTTATTGTTGTTGCAATTTTTAAGTTAATAGACTTAACCTAATCCGCTTATTTGCTTTCTCTCATAAGAAAGAATTCTTTGGCCTACTTCTCATTAGTTAGTGGAGTTGAATTCAAAAGCAAACCTGCTGTGATGACATACTTCCTGATGTTCCAATGAAATTGATTCACCCATTCATTTAGTATTTTGTTCATAGTTTTTATTCAGCAGTTAGAATGACAACCTACAATGTCAAGTAGTCTCTTAGGCACTGTTGTTACAAAGATAAATAAGACAAAGACTTTAGTTCTAAAATACTCATGTTATAGGGGAGATAGGGTGGTTGCCAGAATCAAATAAAATATTAAATAGGACATTAAAAATTATACAAGTTAAAGACAGTACTACTTAGAATAAAATCTAAATATATACACCCATAAAAGAACAAAGAATTTAAGGCATGTATGGAACTAATGGTAAGTCAGTTAAAGATAAAAGGAGGGAGAATATGGATTCAGTGTAGTATTTTATTTTCAAAATATCAGTTGGAATTTTGTTTCTCTTTAAAGCCATTATATCATGTTGTAAGCAAGTATTATATGTAGATCAATGTATCAGGTGCTTGGGAATGGGTAGTAAGGAGTTGCCAGGATGTAGGAACACAATCTTGCCCTCTAAAAGTGGACTCTCCATTTTCTACTTAATGATCATATTGCCTATTCTTATATCCTCTAGAGTGCCTTTCCTCATCCAATGAACAAATATGCACAATGGTCCAGGCCCAGACCATGAGCATAGAGTTGGTGGGGAGCAGCACGTCTTTGTTTCATTTTCTGTCAACAAGCACAATTTGACCTGCAGCATCCTGTAAAGGCAGAGGGTGTGCAAATTACCATAGCCCTAGGATATGCAGTTAAGCATGAAGTCAGCTAAATGGATGTCATTGAATCGGGGTAAGACACACTCCAGCCTGAACAGAAAACAAATACATTTTATATGAATAGTGTGAATTTTCCATGGAAATGAGAAAAGGGAATTCCTAGGAGAACACATTTTCCTTGCCTATTTATTTTTGCCCTGTAGGAAAATGGTAATAGGAGATATTTTAATAACATTGTACACTCAAAAAGGCAGTGCCATTTTTGAATGGTAATATAGTATTTTTTTGCTGGAGTCATAAACATAACGTCTCACTTTCAAAATATGTGCATCATCTTGAAACCAGATTGGCCATGATGTTTAAATGTCTTTGAGCACCATTTATGCAGTTGAAAGGTAATACAGTGAGTTATAGATGTTTATGCCCAATAGAGTAGACAGACTCATGTAACATCTGTGAGGAAATGTGAAGTCACACAGATGAAAAAAGGTCATTTTGCACAGCAGTTGTATCCTAGGTGTCTTAGGTTGTTTTGTGCTCTTGTAACAGCATACCTGAGAGTGGGTAATTTACAAAAAACAAACAAACAAACAAAAAAAAAACAAACAAAAAACCAGAAATGTATTTTCTCGTAACTCTAGAGGATGGGAAGTCCAACATCAGAACCTGGGCATCTGGTGTCAGTCTTCTTATGGCATCCTCCTGTAGTGGATGGCAGAACGCAAGTGGGAACAAACATTGTGTCCTTACATGGCAGAATAATGAAAGAGAGAAAAACCACTCCTGCAAACCTTTTTTATAATGTCATTAATCCATTTATGAGGGCACAGCCTTCATGATGTAAACACATCCCTTTAGGCCCCGCCCACCAACACTGTTGCATTAGGAATTAAACCTCAACATGAGTTTTGGAGGAGGCAAAAACATTCAAACCATAGTAATGGTAACAATTTTTATGCAGATCTCTATTCTTAACTGTTCAATGTGGAAAATGCTAAACCTTTTTCCTCTTCCAACCTTGTATGTTACCAACAAAACTGTTATATGAATAGTTTCATTTAGGCAATCCTAAAGTCTAAAAATGCATTTTAAATATTGCTACAATAAAAATCCATGGTAAAAGTTTTTAAAAATCCTACTTTATCAATTATTTGACATACCCAAGTTTTAGCCACAAGAAAAAATATTACAACCTTCTGAAACTAAATATAATTAGGATCTGCCTCATTAAAGTTAGGGCACTGTTGTTAGACTCTGCACAGTGGTCCCTTTTTTTTTTTTTTTTTTTTTTTTTGAGACGGAGTCTCGCTCCGTCGCCCAGGCCGGACTGCGGACTGGAGTGGCGCAATCTCGGCTCACTGCAAGCTCCGCTTCCCGGGTTCACGCCATTCTCCTGCCTCAGCCTCCCGAGTAGCTGGGACTACAGGCGCCCACCACCGCGCCCGGCTAATTTTTTGTATTTTTAGTAGAGACAGGGTTTCACCTTGTTAGCCAGGATGGTCTCGATCTCCTGACCTCATGATCCACCCGCCTCGGCCTCCCAAAGTGCTGGGATTACAGGCGTGAGCCACCGCGCCCGGCCAGTGGTCCCTTTTTAAACACTAGATGCAAGTCTGTTTATTCAGTAAAGGTGGTTATTAACTTCTCATGGACAAACAGGACTAAAAATCTTCACAGAGATGTAACGGGAACTGAAAAGCCCCAGCCATGGAGAAAAAATTGCAAACTAAAAAATCAGAGCATTAAGTGGAAGAATTCGTAAATGAAAGCTAATGATCAAACTGTAAAGGTCTCTCCTTATCAAATTTTATTTATGTAGATTCAATTTATTCATGTTTATTTTGTTTTTGTATAAGAGAATACAAACTGTTTTTCCCTACTATACTCTCACTCAACATAGAACACTTCTGTGGTCAGATATGTGAGTTTTTTCCCCCACATTCCAAGCAATCCTCCAGGATACCAACTAGATATCCGATAAGTCAGTCTAATTTCAATGCTATCTACCTGGATAGAGTATCAGATCCCACAGTTTGAGGGCTCAGCTGAGGAAAACTGCTGCCATTTCAGAAGCCAGTCAAAAATAGCAGATTGTAACTTATGCATCTGACCAATGGGTTACAAACAAGGGTTACAACAATCTCGTTTTTGGGTTTGATTAATTTGTGAGGATGGTTCATAGAATGCAGGAAAACACTTATGTTTACCTATTTATCATAAAGGATATTACAAAGAATACAAATGAACAGACAGATGAAGAGATGTTGATATAGTTTGGATGTTTGTCCCCACCCAAATCTTATATTGCATGTAATCCCCAGAGTTGGAGGTGGGGTCCTGTTGGAGATGTTTGGATCACTGGGGTGGATTCCTCATAAATGGCTTGGACCATCCCCTTGGTGATAAGTGGGCTCTAGCTCTCAGTTAATATGAGATCTGGTTATTTAAAAGCATGTAGCACCCCCTCTACTCTCTCCCTCTTACTCTTTGTTTCACCATGTAAAGTGCATGCTCCTGCTTTGCCTTCTGCCATGAGTAAAAACTCCCTGGGGCCTCCCCAGAAGCTGAGTGGATGCCTGTGCCATGCTGCTTGTACAGCCTGAAGAACTATGAACCAATTAAACCTCTTTTCTTTATGAATTGCCCATTCTCAGGTATTTCTTTATAGCAATGCAAGAACAGCCTAATACAGAAAATTGGTACCGAGGGGTGGTGCATTGCTATAAATATACCTAAAAATGTGGAAGCAGCTTTGCAACTGGGCAACGGGCAGAGGTTGGAAGACTTTAGATGGCTCAGAAGAAAATACAAAGTCAAGGGAACACTTGGAACTTCTTAGAGACTGGTTAAGTGGTTGTGACCAAAATGCTGACAGCATTACGGACAATCAACTCTAGGGTGCTGAGATCTCAGATGGAAATGAGGAACTTATTGGGAACTGGAGCAAAGATCATGTGTGTTATACCTTAGCAAAGAGCTTGGCTGCATTCTGTTCATGCCCAGTTTTGTTCAAACTGTGGAAGTTTGAACAAAAGAGTAATAATTTAGAGTATCTGGTAGAAGAAGTTTCTAAGCATGAAAGTGTTCAAGATGTGGCCTGGCTCCTTCTAACAGCCTATGCCTAGATGAGGGAGTAAAAAAAAAAAAATAACTAAAAGTGGAAACTTATATTTAAAATGGAAGGAGAGCATTAAAGTTGGGAAACTTTGCAGACTGGCCATGTGGCAGAGAAAGAAAAAGCTTTTTCAGGAGAAGAATTCAAGCAGGCTGTGAATCAACCACTTGCTAGAGATAGCTGCCTAACTAAAAGGATGTTCCATGCTAATATTCAAGACAATGAAGAAAAGGCCTTACAGAGTTGTCATCGGGTCACTGCCTAATGGAGCTGAGAGAAGGGAGCTACCCTCCTCTAGGCAGAAGACTGGTGGATCAACTGGCAGCTTGCACCCTGCATCTGGAAAAGCCACAGGCACTCAACAACCTGTGAGTGAAGCCTCAGGGGCTGAATCCTGCAAGGCCACAGGGGTGGAGGTGTCCAAGACTTAGGGAGCCCACCCCTTGTATGAGTGTGACCTGGATATGGGACATGGAGTCAAAGGAGATTATTTTGGAGCTTTAAGATTTAATGGAGGGATGGGGCTGGCCAAGATGGCCGAGTAGAAGCAGCTAGTGTGCACCACTCTCATGGACAGAAATAGAACGGGTGAGTAAACACAGCACCTTCAACTGAAACATCCAGGTACATGCATTCAGATTCATCAAGCAAACAATTTGACCCACAGAGAGTGGAGAAAAGCAAGGCAAGACGATTGCCCACCTGAAAGCAACATGGAGCCAGTGGAGACTCCACTGTCCAGGGAAGTGGTGAATGAATGAGGGACCCAGGCTTCTTCCATGGATATCTGCAACTCTCAGGTCAGGAGAGCCTCTCATGAACCCACTTCACAAGGGCCTTCAGGTGGACACACAGAGCTATGCGGAGTCTTGACCTGAAAGTAACATGGAGCCAGGGGAGACTCCACTGTCCAGGGAAGTAATGAGTGAATGAGGGACCCCAAGGATCCACACTTCTTCCAAGGATATCTGCAACTCTCAGGTCAGGAGAGCCCCTCATGAACCCACTTCACAAGGGCTTTCAGGCTGACACACACAGCTATGCAGAGTCTTAGTAGAGCAAATGCTCAGGCACACATGGAGACCCAGGAGCTTTAGATACCCAGGCTTCCCAGCAAAAGTGGCTACAGCTCTGGCAGAGTAGGGGCTTAGACCCCCATACATACCCATAGGAAAATGACTGAATCCACGGGACTAGGCAGCAATGGTCTGAGGGCCCTGATTCTGTAGCACCTCAGAGGATAAGACCCACTGACTTGGAGCTCCAGCCAGTCACCAGTAGCAGCATTACACTCATCTGATTTGGAGTTCCCAGAGGGAGAGGTAAGCCGCCATCTTTGCTGTGTGGCATCCTTAGCCTTTGTTGCCTTCATTGCAGCTGACCTATAGAGAAGTGGCCAGACAGCTTTTTTATTTGGGCCCCTGACCATACTTTTCCTTACTGGGTAGGACCTCCCAACTCAGGGTCTCAAGCTACCCTCACTGCTATTTTCCAGCTGGCAGTGATTCTGAACCTCCCTGGGATGGAGCTCCCAGGGAGAGGGATGGACTGCCATCTTTGCTCTTTCACAGTTTTAGCCATTGTTGCCTTTGGGCTCTAGGGAGTGGGCAGCAACTAGGGACTGAGTGGTCCCCTAGCACAGTGCAACAGTTCTACAAAGAAGTGACCAGACTGCTTTTTCACATGCATCCCAGATCTCACTTCAATGGCAAAATCTCCTGACCAAGGTCTACAATCACCCCTGCTGGTGTTTTCTGGCCAGCAGCAGTTTCATACCTCCCTGGAACGGAGCTCCCAGAGGGAGGGGTGGGCCACCATATTTGCTGTTTTAGAGCCTTAGTCACTATTGCCTTCAGGCTTTGGAGAGTCTGAAGTGACTAGTGGCTGGAGTGGACCCCAACACAGCGCAATGGCTCTAAGAAAAAGAGATCAGACTCCTTTTTTAAAGCAGGTCCCTGATCCCATTCCTCCTTAATGGGCAAGGCCTCCCAACCAGAGTCTCCAGCCACCCATCCCAGTGTCTTCCAGCCAGCAGCAGTTTCAAACCTCCCTGAGACAGAGTTCCCACAGGGAGGGCAAGGCCGTTGTCTTTGCCGTTTAACAACAAACATGTTTAGATGTTGTTGCCTTCAGGCTGTAGAGAGTCTGAGGTGACCAGGGGATGCAGCAGACCCCAGCACAGCACAGCTGCCCTACAGAAAAGTGGCCAAACTGGTATTTTTATGTGGGTCCCTGATCCCATTCCTCCTCACTGGGTGGGATCTCCTGACTAGGGTCTCCAGCCACTTCCTGCCGGTGTGTTAGGGCCAGCATCAATTTTGTACCACCCTAGGATGGAGCTCACAGAGGGAGGGGCGGGCCTCTATCTTTGCTGTTTCACACCTTTCACTGTTGATACCTTCAGATGCTGGAAAATCTTAGGTGACTAGAGACTGGAGCTGACCCCCAACATACTGCAGCAACCCTCCAGAAAAGTGGCCAGACTGTTTGTTTTGTGGGTCCCCGATCCCATTTCTTCCAGCCTGAGTCTCCAGCCACCCTCTACTAGGGCTATTTAGCCAGTAGCAGCACTTCAACTTTCTGGCACAGAGCTCTCAGTGGGCATGTTGCCATGTTTGCTGTCTCACCACCCTTGCCATTGCTGTCTTCAGGCTCTGGAGAGTCTGCAGGGACTATAGGCTGGTGCAGACCCCCAGCACAGAGCACTCAACTCATGGAAAAGTGACTGCACTGCTCTCTGTGCAGGTCCCAGTCTTCACTTCTTACTGGGTAGGGCCACCCGACTTGCAACACCAGTACAGCCACTCTGCTTCTGCCTGATCACCTGAATCAGAGGCTGTCCAGCATTTCTCCAAGGAGGATATCCCAGAGTAAACTCACAGCTCCTCTACCACTGCAGTTGTAGGGTATCACCCAAATAGCCGTTGGGCTGGGGAGGGAACAAAGAGCCTAGTCACTATGCTGGCACTGCTGGCACACTGCAGACATTATACAGAGAGGAGTCCAGCCTCTCTTCCCTGGGAACCCCTACCTCCCACTATTCACCAGGCAGGGCCCTTGGCTCATGACAACAGAACAGTTACCCCCACCCCATGGCTAAACATACCCAGTTGTAGTGACCCAGAATTTCCCTGGGGAGAGAATCCCAGAGGTATCCAACAGCACCTCTGCCCCTGCCACAGCAGTGGTTCTATCCCTCCTACCATTGATATGGGGAAAGAAACAAAGAGCCTGAGGGCTACACCTGAGGCTGTAGCACACCACAGTCACCATATGGAGAGGAGACTAGTCTTTCCTCCCAGTGAGTACTCATCCCTCTTGTCCCCAACAAGTAAACCCCAAGCAGTACAGGTGCCTCACCTCACTGGCTAAACTCTCAGTAACTAACAGCTCCACATTTCTCAGAGGTGGAGCCCCCAGGGGCAACCAAAAGCCCCTCTGCCACTGCTTCTGCGGTGGTACTAACCCCGCTATACTTGGACTAATGAAGGAGCAAAGACCCTAATTGTCCTATCCACACCTCCAACGAGCTGCAGTTGACCCAAGGAGAGGAGGCCAGTCTGCCTCCCATGGGTCCCACCCACTGCTCATCACTAGGCAGGGAACCCCTGGCTTGGGCCCATAGCACCAATCTCCCATCTCAGGCTGATGGCACTGAGCAATTGCTGACCTGCATCTCTCGAGTGGGTCCCCCAGGAGACAACTAAAAGACCCTTGGCCACACCACTGCTAAGGTCCCTTCATCTGCTGTCTCCAAGTTGGGGAGGAAACATAAACCCTGAGATCACTCCTGGCCCAGCCAAGCTGTGATGTATAGTCCACGCTCAAGTGGGAGAGGAGCCCACACTTTCAGAGCATAGAGAGGGAACACGACTGCAACTGTGAAAGAATGTAGGGGAGCCACTCAACTGAGAAAGAGTCTACCAACTGACCAGTATGTCTAACCACCACCTACTGGATCACACCCCAAAGCTTTAACACAAAACTTACCTCACTAGCATGACCCCATGTGAAACCAAAGACAAGAAGTCTGTTTCAAAAATTACCCTGCACAAAGCCTCAACCCTCTGAAAACATACAGAAGTCTACTAACTGTACTCAATCTACACCACAGTTAAAGGAACACTGATACAGAGATAAGAACCAATTCAAGAACTCCAACAACTCAAATGGCCAGAGTGTCTTAAGTCTTACAAGCGACTACACTACTTCAACAAGGGTTCTTAAGCAGGGCGAGTTGGCTGACATGAAGGAAACAGAATTCAGAAAATAGATAGAAATGAAGATCATTGAGATTCAGGAGATGTCAAAACCCAATCCAAGGAAACTAATAATCACAGTAAAATAATATAAGAGCTGACAGACAAAATAGCCAGTATAAAAAAGAGCCTAACTGATCTGATAAATCTGAAAAACACACTACAAGAATTTCATAATGCAATCACAAGTATTAACAGCAGAACAGACCAAGCTGAGGGAAGCATCACTAAACTTGAAGACTGGCTTTCTGAAATAAGACAGTCAGAAAAAAATAAGGAGGAAAAAAAGAAAAATGATGAACAAAACTTCTGAGAAATATGGGATTATGTAAAGAGGCCAAATCTATGGCATCCCTGGAAGGGATGAGGAGAAAGCAAACAACTTGGAAAACATATTTCAGAATATCATCCATGAAAAGAACCCCAACCTCACTAGAGAGGCCAGCAGTCAAATTCAGGAAATACAGAGAACCTCTGCAAGTCTATGCAAGATTATCCCCAAGACACATAATCATCACATTTTCTAAAGTTGAAATGAAAGAAAGACTGTTAAAGGCAGCAAGAGAGGAAGGACAGGTCACCTACGAAGGGAACCCCATTAGAATAACAGCAGACCTCTCAGCTGAAACCCTACCAGCCAGAAGAGATTGAGGGCCTATATTCAACATTCTTAAAAAAAATATTCAACCAGTAATTTCATATCCAGCCAAACTAAGCTTCCTATGCAAAGGAGAAGTAAGATTATTTTTTTAGATAAGCAAATTCTGAGGGAGTTGATTACCACCAGACCCGCCTTACAATAGATCTTGAAAGCAGCACTAAATAAGCCACTGGTTATTCAAGAAAGCTTTTAACATTTATCTGTGTTTCAGTCACCAAGTGTTGGATACCCAGAATCATAAATGCTGCTCTGTGATTACTATCAAACTGAATATTTCAAAAATATGATCATCTAACAGAACAAAAAAGGTCCAGCACTTACACAAATCATACAAGTATCTTAAAACACTTGACACACAATCATGAAACATCAAGTTGCAGTGAAGATCTTGATTGATCTTGTTCCTTTAAAATAATGATGGTCTATTCTTCAACTTAGACTGAAGTATAACCAGAAGTAGGGTAGGACTGGGACTGAGAAATACAATCAACTACAAGTTGCAAAATATATTATGACTTGCAAAGAAGATAAACTATAGCAAACATAATATGCAGCAGAAGTATCTAAGCTCCAGTTACTTTAAAACCAGCTTCACAGAGCCATCATACAGGAAAAGACCAGAGTAATACTAACTCTGCATGTCAGTATTTCATGTTTCACAGTTTACATATTTCAAAGAGAAGATTATAACTGTTTCAGAAACTCATATGGTTTATAAACCTCGACCAATCTGTATCCACTACTATGCTTTCTAATTCTGACCTAAAATCAGCTTTCACTAACCCCAGTTCTCTTAGGCTGATAAGTATCCTTAATATATCTCCTTTTGGAGACCACACTCAGACCCTGGGAAGAATGTGTTCTCTCTTATTCAGCAAATTTATAGAGGTCAGCTTTGAATAATCAACATATTTCACTGGTGACCTTTGTATGGAGATTTTGACAAATAACTTTATAATTGATGTAATAATAAAAATAATGATGATGTGAGTTTTTTCCTTGCCTAGAGATTAATTAAATACATAACCTTGTTATTCCTTGAATGGCACTCTGGTCCTCATGCTTAATTGGTGAGATGAGGGCTTATACCCCACATTTATATTCAAGTGGAATTTATCTCCTTTGCTGTTACACAAATGACTGGATATTAATTTGGTTAGAAAAAATTATCAGTCTCGGAAAGTCCATAAAAAGTGTTTTAGTATACACATTCACAAAAGTGTTTCAAGAACTTCTTAAAAGTAGTTAAGCTGTTTCCCACTATGCTTATGGGAGACTTTAACATGGACTGTAAATGGACTCTAAGGTTGATGATCTTTAAAATGGACTGACTGTCCCTAGTTTTTGCTCCAGAGCTGTATTCATGAGAAATCTATAGAAAGTCTTTTGAATTTTCACGCATTTTATGATCGTTAGCAAGTTAATTTGTGTGCCACTCCAGTGAGAGAACCAAATACGGCTACCCCTTTTTAAAAAGTGAAGAAAGTGAGACATAATAGAGGTCAAGTTTCATTTCCAATCCACTGTACAAATTAAGAGGATTTTTTTCTGTCCCTCTCTGCCAGCCATCTTCAGAGTAAGCATAGACTCTTGCACTCATAATATTGTTATTTGTTCCAAATCACTAGTGTCCAGACACAGAAGATAAATTCATAATATTTAGAACACAAATCCATCAGTGGGAATAATCCCATTAATGGGGTTAGAATACGTTTTATCTGTAGAGACCAATACAAATACTAATTTGCTATTTCAGCATAAAACATCACATGAACCAACTGCTCAACACACATAATGGCTCCAGGAGTGAGAAAATGGTTCATCCAAGAAAGCAAACAGTCCCTCCATTAAACTATCCCCCACTACTGCCAGTGAGTCTTCATAAAATAATAGCTTCTAATTGTAGCTTCATATAATAATTTTAAAAACTTTTCTTCATTTGCTTTTTATAACAACAATCAGAGAAATTGGGTTGGCATGGAGTATATGCAGATGAGAGCTAGATTTTGTCTTGATAAACTATGTTTACCGATCAAAGTGAAATATCCCATGGATTTTACATACATTGCCTCATTTATTACTTATAACAATCTTGATATCAACAGGACACATATTATTCTCTGTTGAATCAAACAGGGAAACTGATACAAAAAGTGCTTATGCTACTTTCCTGAAACAAGCAAGTAACAGTGGGAGTAACAACCCATGCTCTTGACTGGAAGTGAAGTCTCCAACACATCACTGTCTCTCATGTCTAAAGCACTCTCCAAAGTCCGATGGCCACAACTCTTGGTACAACTTGTTCTGGTAAAAGCAAGTCTGTGATCACTGTCATGTGAATAGAATATATTAGCTTAAAAGCAAAATTTCCAAAAATTATTGCCACTTTAAAGAAATTCCTCATATACAAATTAACTGCCAATTGAATGTTTTAGATCACTGTAATACCCTGTAGAGATACTTAATGCCACTCTGCTGGTCTGTTTCAAAAGGTAGAATTTTGATGCTAGGAATATTTTTTTTTTCTTCTGAATTCTAAATTTCCAAAATGTGATACCATTCTCTTTAAAACATTCACATTATTTTATATCTAAAATGCACTTCTGCATTTCAATTTTAGCAAAGTGGGTCATCCTTATTAATACCTGAAGAAATATATTACTGGTTTCTTTACTGCTTTAAAATGCATTGTAGTTATCTTCTATTATCATAAACAGTCATATTAGAGGAATTCTTAATATCACGTCTCTAATGCATATCTGAACCAGCTCTTCTGCATCAGACAAAATTATTTTGAGAAGTGAATGGGGTTCACTCTTCAAAGGCACACATTTTGAGATATTTTGCATAACTATGGTATACAGCAGTTAAGAGCATGTCATTTAGTAACTGATGTACTTGAATTATTAAACATGTCTCTTACCTCAACTCTCCTGTAGTGTGTTCCACATGTAAATAGGGCTATGGAATTTAGCTAACGAAAATAAAGCTTAGAAGCTTAAATATATGACTAAAATATGTTTAAGCATAAAAGGGGAAATAAAATATTCTAATAATCAGGAAAATAGATTTTTAAAACTTAGATAAGAGGTTAATAAATAACTCATAAGAACAAATTAGCAAGGAATGCAGTGCCTAGTCAAGGAAACTTCAGATAATAACAATAACAGCTAACATTTATTGAATATACTGGATATTGCTAAGCATTTTACATATACTATCTCATTTAATCCTCACACAAACTCTAAGGTAGTATTACTCTCTCCATTTTATATGTGAGAAAATACACTGGAGTTCGCATTAATGTGCTAGGGCTGCCTTAACAAAGGACCACAGAAAGGGTGGCTCAAACAACAGAAATTTATTATTTTACACTTTTGGAATCTAGAAGTCTAAAATCACGGTGTTGGCAGGGTTGGTTCTTTCTGCAAACTGTGAAGGAAGGATCTGTTTCAGGCCTTTCTCCTTCACTAATAGATGGCTCTTCCCTCTATGTGTATTTGTGTCCAACTTCCCTTTTTGTAAGAATATTAGTTGTGTTTAATTAGGGTCCACCCTAATGACCTCATTTTAGCTTGATTACCCCATAAAGATCTTAGCTCCAAATAAGATCACATTCTGAGGTACTAGATTTGATCCAATAGATGTTTAGGGTCTCTACTGTGTGCTAGGAAATATGCCTAGTATTGTGGAGAGAAAGAACAATGCAATATCTGGTAAGAGATAAGGATGCGTTATCTGGGCCCTCCTCTCCTCTCCAAAATGAGGTCAAGACTAGCCCAGCTACCTAAACTCTGCTAAGGAGCCAGAACAGCAAAAAGCCCTGTAGAATCCAGATTAAAGCAAAGAATTCCCAACATGAAAGGTGAGTGAGATCAGCCAGAAACTACAAGTATATACTCCAATACCCAGGAAGGCAAGAACCAGGGTTGAGTTGAGACCCTGTGAGACCAGGGAGATGAGATGGAGATCAGAAAAATCAAGATGTGATCAAACAGGATGGGAGGTGTTTTGTAGGACTGCTTAGCATTTCAATTGGTAGTACCTTCAAGAGTTTAGTGATGACATAATTAATCCTCCAAACAGGGAATGTTTTGGAATGAAAAGGGGTGTGTATTAGAGTTCTCTAGAGGGACAGAACTAATGGAATAGATATATACTCAAAGGGGAGATTATTAAGTATTTACTCACGTGATCACAAGGTACCACGATAGGTTGTCTGCAGGTTGGGAAGCAAGAAGAACCAGTTTGAGTTCTAAAACTGAAGAACTTGGAGTCCGGTATCTGAGGGCAGGAAGCGTCCGGCAGGGTAGGAAGATATAGGCTGGGAAGCCAGGCCAGTCTCTCTTTTCACATTTTTCTGCCTGCTTAATTCTAGCTGCCCTGGCAGCTGAATAGATTGTGCTCACCCAGATTATGGGTGGGTCTGCGTTTCCCAGCCCACTGACTCAAATGTTAATCTCCTTTGACAACACCCTCATAGATACACCCAGGATCAATACTTTGTATCCTTCAATGCAATCAAATTGACAGTATTACCCATCACAGGGTGCTATAAATAGTTCAGTGGGGACAATAGGCATACATAGATGTTGTTTTAGGCCATCCGAAAGGAATAGTTACCCTGGACAAAAATACAATGACTGAGAGGGTTAGCTTAGCTTAAGAGTTTTAATTCTTTTAAAAACAAGTAAACACACAGTAGAATTCAACTTTATGTGCACCATTATACATCATACTTATGCACAAAGAAGGCATAGAGAAGAAGATAATGAACAGTGGATGGGGTCATAGAAGGAGCAACTACTGAGTTGAGTTTTGATTGACAAATTAGAATCCCAGCTATTAATGAAGAAAAGGAAAGGCTTTCCAGAGCAAGGAAATAATATTGCAGTAGCGTGGAGGCAGAAAACATTACAATGAGTTGTAGGATTCATTCCTTTACTTAACAAATATTATTTAAATACCTATCGTGTGAAAGACACTGATTAAAGCACCAGGGATCAGAAGTTACCAATATAGTATAGGTACTTACATTCTATTAGAGGAAGATAGTCAGTTTTGGAAAAGTCGTTCATCCTTATTAATAACTGAGTAATGAAGATATTACTATTTCCTTTATTGCTATTTTTAAAATTTATCTTCAATTATAAAGACAGTAATATTAGAAGAATATATGATATCACATCTCTAATATATGTCTAAACAAGCTCTCTTCCATCATACAAAATTATTTTGGATAATAACCAAATGGTTATGTAATTCCAGGTATTACATTCCAGAAAGTGAAAGAAAGTATACATAAGATGTGAGAAGACCAGGGATGGCATTTTAGATGGGATGGTCAGGGTATCTGACCAACTTTAGACTGCATCCCCTCTCATACTGTTGCCATGTTCTGATCTTTTCATCATAATGACATGGAAAGTACAAAAAAAAATAATATTTAGATACTCCTAGTTTGCTTTATGTGCTCTGCCTAGAAGGGAGTCATTTCGACTTTCCACACAGTCCTAATTAGCAGAACTGGTATTCTTCACTCACATTTGGGAGCAGAAAACAGATTTTTTTATTTTTTGGTATCAAATGACAGATCATTTTTCTAGGAAAATTCCAGGTGATGGTTCTCTAGTCCAGAAAGTGGAAGGGATCCTCTGGCCTCTGATTAAAGTGTTTAAATGTCACTGTTTACATAGTCATAATGAATCGAATCAAGCCAGTGGCTTAATGCCACAGAAAACCCCTGTTAGATTCATCCGTCTGAGATGTTTACTTTCTTTCTCCTCCTTCCATCTCTTTCTTCCTTCATTTATTTTCCTTTCTTTCATCTTTAATTTTTTTTCTTTCTTTCTCTGTCTCCTTTTAATTTGGTAAATATATTGAAGAGATGAGCACACGACAACAGATTTAAGGAGAGGATTTACATGGATTATTATTCTACCTCGAGACAAAGGCAGTAATTTTTAAAAATAATTTTTGTACCTTTTTCTGTGTTAAATAAGGAAGGCCCAGTGATGTTAATTGGAAGAAGGACTATAATTTAATGTTTACATTCTCTTGAGAAGAAAAAAAATGGTATTGTGGCAGGAACTGGGAAGATCAGACTTCTTGTGAAGATTTTCTACACCATCCCCATAAAAATAGTTTCACGGCATTGTGAACTGATTGATGCTGCTGTTGTGACCCTGAGGTAGGGCCTGATAGGAGACAGAGCTGGAGAGACTGGCAAGAGTACGATCAAAAAGGGTCATGAATGGCAGTTGGAGGTGTTTGAATGCTATAAAAGAAGAGGAAAAAAAAGAAAAGGAAGAGAAATGATAAATTTGGGAATTGTGCATTCTTTTATCTGTAGCACCTTACACAATATCTGGCAAGAAATATCTTGATACAGTAGAATTTCTTATATTCAGATAACTATTCTGGGAAAAAAAAAGGGTATTGAAAGGTTTTAAATATGGCTGTCCTTAATCTAAGCTCTTTTTTCCCTAAACAATAAGATTTAGATTTTAACATCTCGTTTATGAAGTTGTACAGTCACTTCCCACAAATATCATTTGCTTAAATGCAGATGAGCAATTGTCTTTTTGGCTTAACTTTAACCCAGCAGTGCAAGTAATCTGACAGCTTAAGCAAGAATTACTAAGACCAAAAACCTTGAATTAGACTTGTATCTACATTGTTAATCTCATTTTTTGTTGACGCCAAATCATAGATATGACCATATAAAATTAAACCATCTATGCCTAATCGGAAACAGGTGCTCTTAGAGATGGTCTCTTCCAGCCCTGCTAAATAGATTATAAGTTTTAGTTTTTTCTGGGACTAGGAAAATAAACTATGCCTTTGTCTTAACTAGTGTGCTTCTTTTCTTCATATTTTCCTTTCCTTTTCTTCACTTTCAAATTCTATATCAATCTAATAGAAGGAAGTACCGCTTTAATTTTGTTATTGACTATATAAATAGACCTTCCCGTATGTTCGGTTTTTAAGTGTAAAGGAAAGCTTCATTAACTACTATCTCTATAATCACAGCAATAATAACATGACCATTCCACACTGCTTTATGTTTTTATTATTTTCTTTGCACATAAATAAACTGTTAAGAATTATAATACATCATGAACAGTAGTCCGTAAATTATAGTAATATACTGTACTTCTTTGACCTTTTCAATATTGTGTGATTTGGTTGGCTGGCCTCTCTATTTATAGCCCTGCTGAGTAGAGGGGAAGGCATGAATATCCTGCTACTAATGAAAATATCATATATTGAAAGAGTCAAATGATGATACTGTCTTGGTCTGGATGACTATATTTCACAAGATATACAGCATTAGGCATTGTAATTCTGAAAAATCATTCTCCTGACAAAGGTATAATGGGATTAGAAAATTGCCAAAATTAGTTAATTTACTGAAAAGGCTTGTACCCAGGCCAAAAAGAGCAAAAAGAGTGTGATGATTTTATTTTTTAACAGAATCTCATTACAGTTTAAAGTCACATTACTTGTAATTCTCTATCAACAGTTAAGATGATATGTTTAGTACTTACATCTGTAGGTAGCATGAAGAATAAGGGAGAATTTCCTTGTATAGCCTTAAAGAAAAACAATCCAGTACACTTTCTTTCATTGGAATATTGCCTTACTTTTCCCTTTGAAAACAAGCAATGTATTCTTTAGGTTTTATAACAAATGGTTCCAGTGACTGAGATAATGTTAAAAAAAATTATTATTCATACTATTGTCTTTTTGCTACATGCATATGCCAACACATGCCAGGTTGCCTGACTAAAGAATATATAATGTCACTTCACACTATTATGAGCTCTTCATTAAACAAGTCATTATTGTTGTTATCCAACTTGTTTCACAATATTCCTTTAGATTGCAGGAAAGGGAAGGAGGATATAAGCCAATTTATCCCAACAAAGAGAACCTCTTCTGTGTCAGTTTGTGTGACTCCTTTGTCATTATTTAGAAGTAACTTTTGCCCTGAGAATGTGTAGAAGAGAAGATGAGCTCTCTTGTAATCCTTGCTATTTTTTCATGATATATTAGTGCATGCAGGAGCAGTCCTAATTAGTACAATGACCTGGCTCATTTTGCTGGCATCCGAACTCTGCACCGAGACAGCAGTGCATTCTCTATAGCCCAAGCTTTTAGAAACATGGCTCTGCACACTTCCACTCTATTCTTAGTAGTTTTTTTAAAAAACTCACTGTAAATGAAGAGCTTGCACTTCAAGGAGACCTGCACCCTCCCCTTCTGTGAAGCAGCGGAGATCTACTCTGTTGTACAAGTTCGTTTTCGATTAGTGTCTTGGATTTACTCATTTGAAAAGCTTATGGGAAGCCATTATGTGTTAAAGGATTTTAGACAGGTTAGGTATGATTTATAACATAAGGTGGAATTAGACAGGTTTAGTTTGATTAAACAGCACATCTGTTGGGGTGGTGGAGGAGAGATTTATGAAGTAAAATCAAGTTAAAGGGAGAAAAATGAAATAGCTATGTGTAGTATGAAAGAGGGTAAACAAAACCTATGTGATTGAAGATACTTAATCATGTCTGTGAATATAGCTTTTTGAATTCCTAATATATGCTCAGGTACTTTCAAAACCTTGTCTCATCTCATCCTCAGAAAGATTCTCCAAGATAACCTGCTATTCCCATTTACAAAAGAGGAAAATGAGCTTCTGAGAAGTTGAATGGCTTATCTGAGGACAAACAGCTAGGCTGAAACAGAGCCACGAATCAAACCCAGATTGTTGGTATTGTGTGTTTTCCTGTCACTAAAGTCTATACTCTTCATTTCTCTATACTGTTCTGTGATTTGTTAGTCCATTTCTCTCAGACTGCTCACATGTGGCAGTGCCTTGAGTCTCACCTAAAGTGGTAAAGATATTTCAGTCTGCCCAGTGCAAATAAACAAGTTGAAATTCCTGCTTAAAGCATAGGTTGTCTACAACTTAATGAGACGCCCATAGGGCACCATATCAATCAAACAATATGTCTTTAGCACCGAATATCAGCGTGCTTCTTCCCTTAGTCTCCACACTCAGACACACATATAACAAACAAATCCCTATTGATGTTTATGCATATTATTTGTACCCTGTCTTGAACAAGAAAGGATTTCAGTTGGCTTCTCCATTGAAATTCTCTACTGTAAATACTAATACTTTCATTTGGATACAGGAGAACTGTTATCTTTACTATTTACCTGATTAAAAAAATATAACAGCACAGGCTTGCAAAAACTATGAGAGAGGAGAGATTGATATTTTCAGTCAGCAACGCATTCCTGACAATAAAGGTAATCACCCTGCCTTTCCTTAAGACTGATTCTTTACTGTTAAAAATTACAGTAAATATTCTTTTATCATAAAGTGCAGGACTCAAATCAGAAATACAACTGGACTAATCCAGATTAGCTGATTCTTTTATCTCTACTGCCAACATAGTACTCTATTGTTGAATATGAAAGGAAGTCGCAACCACTTTAAAAGAATTTATTGAATATCCAAATGATAATCGGATAGGATGCTTATGATTGAAGAGGTTTTGTCAAAATAGTGTTAGCTATCCAAGTTGAAAATTTTTTTAGGCCAGGCGTGGTTGCTTACGCCTGTAATCCCAGCACTTTGGGAGGCCAGGGCGGGTGGTTCATGAGGTCAGGAGTTCGAGACCAGCCTGGCCAACATAGTGAAACCCCATCTCTACTAAAAAAATACAAAAAATTTGCCAGGCATGGTGGCAGGCACCTGTAATCCCAGCTACTCAGGAGGCTGAGGCAGGACAATCACTTGAATCCGGGAGCGGGTGGTTGCAGTGAGCCGAGATTGCGCCATTGCGCTCCAGCCTGGGCAACAGTGTGAGACTTCATCTCAAAAAAAACAAAAAAACAAAAAAAACCAAAAAAAAACCTTTTTAATATGAGCGTGGCTCATGCCTGTAATCTTAGCACTTTGCAAGGCTGAGGTAGGAGAATTTCTTGAGGCTAGAAGTTCAAAACCAGCACGGGCAATATAATGAGACCCTGTCTATACAAAAACTTTAAAATTTTTTAAAAATCTTTTTTCAAAGAAAGCAAATACTGTAATGATTTTAATTGTTTGAAGTATTTAACTACAAGAAAAGAGAAATATAACATTATTTTTCTTTATTTCCCAAATCTCATTGATTTCTGTACATATCTAAGAGATTATGCAGATTTTTTGTTGTACAATTTCACAGAATCGGTTTTCTTTACGGTAAGTGGATTATTAACCAAACTTGACATAGTATTATATGAGGTAATTCCACTTGGTTGCAACATATTTAACCAGTGTATTAAGTTGGATCAAGTTACAGTAAATAACATCACATCGTATTGCAAAATCATTGTATTTATCTTTACATCAATGCATAGAACAATTATGTTTCAAATAGTCAGTTGTAAAATTTTAGCATTATATATTGGTGCTATTTTAAGCCTACATGGGGACAAGTAGCTGAAAAGAGTGTGTGGTTTGTGTCCTTAAATATTCTTATATGGAGAGGAAAAAGTAACAAGACTAAGAGAATATTTGCTACCTAAAGGCAAAGACCCAGTAGGCTGGGCAGACTGTTTAAACACCGTTATGTCTGCTGCGTGTGATACTTGGCTAAACCATTAAAGAAAATCTACAGCGTGTGAGTTCCCAGTTCTTTCTGCTGAGTGTTTCTATTGGAAGATATTCACCACCCAGGAGTTCCAAACACTGAATTATTCAATGGAACCTCAGGCAGCTCCTGCTTCAGTGGTGAGCATATAGAAAGTTATGTCTCCCTACACCTACCTGTGGGCTTCCTTGATTATGGGCTCTGCTTAGTAAGGAAAACAGCCCTACACATTTTACTTCTGCTGAAGCTTGGTAAAGAGATTGTATATAGTAAGTTGTTTTGCTGCTGCCATTTTAACTGATTTGGCATTTTCAGTGGTACCCACAAGCAGTATTAGAGATAAGTATCTATCAGTTCTGTGGTTAACTGATTCCTGTCAGAATCTATAACTTGACTACAGAAAAAGTCTCTTCAGGCTAAAATCTGATATTCAAAAATCTCAGTCTGAAGGAAGAGTAGAGGGGAAAAAAAGTGAATTCTTCATAGGCTGGTTGATTCTAGCCACACATTTGTCTAAAGCCACCCAAAATAATTTTTATGATTCTAATCTTTTATTTTAAATTAGGGAAATCAGAGGAACTCAATTTTCTGGCATATATATTTGATATGCAAAAAACAATTATTATGAATAAGTAGAGTTTAAAATGTGGCATTTGGCCTCTTTAATCAATTTCAGTATTTCATCTCAGATTCTTCAACCTCAAAGTCAACAGCTGGCAAGTTTATACGTCAACCAGTAATATTTAGGGGTTAAATAGTTTGAAAATAGTTTGATGCCTGTTTAAGTGTTTGGGTTTTAGTCTTGTCTTTAAGAAGTTTATATTCTATCCAGAGTGATAAAATGCATCACAAAATATAGAGCAAAGTAATCACAAGTTAATAATATGCTGTAAATTACCTCTCCTTTTCTCCCAGTTTTGGCTTTACTGTTTCTCCTTGGATTCTCACAATTCTACTGTTTTTTTTTTTCTCTCTTCTGGTTTCTTCAGAAACTTCTCTGCTCTCCTCCCTACTTCTAGAGATCCAAATGTCATCAAGTCTTGGAAAGAAAAAACAAGGTCATTCTAAGTAAATAAGATTATAAATAACAAGCCCCTAAAGAATGTCTAGCTTGTAGCCCATCTCTGTAAATGGTACGTATGTTTGTATTATTACTCTTATGATCACTTTAATTATTATACATAAAAATACTCGAGTTAGCAAGAAAGAGTTAGTGAATATTTTGATAATAATCAAACCAAAATTATTGAGCCTCTGCTATGGGAAAAAGTATCCTACTTATTTAGAATTTATGCTTTCTTAATTATGTTACACTTACCTGAAGACCCATTTTCATTTTTCTCACACCTGTACTCGTCAGGACATAAAGAACATTAGAAGCTCCATTTCCAGAGAATAGTCTGAAATTTGCTCCATTATTCTAATCCCATTCTCATTACTTGAAAGGGTGTGGAAAACTCACACTTACCAAAACACAACTTTCCTATTTCTTTTACTGGGATGTTTCTCTTTACCACTTAGGACTTCTTATCTTCATTAGATCTAGAGCTCTACCACTGACTCCTAATTGGAATCTCACCCAACTGTTGTCAACTCCTTCTCTATCCCTCATTTTCCTCATTTTGACTGGGCTGCTTCTTCTAAATAGTAGAAAAATATCCAAACAAATATTGCTACCTGTCTCACTTTTAATACCATGCAGCTAATATTATTCCCCTGTGTGATGGGATCTCTCGAATATGACCTCTGGTCTGTGTAAGCATGGTTTACCATGCTTATTTCAAACGTTTAATTAGGTAGTTGGCCATTCCATGATACTTGGTCCTACATCTAGATTGGTTATTTTAGCCAAGGTTTAAGCTTCCTTCCCTCCCTACCATCCTGGAACCAATCTTTGAATTTCCTTTGCTAACTGGCAGAGACAGATCTCTAGTGAGATTTGAAGCTTATAAAATATGAGAAAGGATCTTTTTGTTAAGACAGTAATACAAAATTATAAATTCAACATTAAATATATGGTCTTGAGAGAGCCCCGAGCAAATTAGGGGACTGACCTAAAGTTTAAGGATTATTTGCTTAATGATAAATATGCTTGTGCCTCTGAGAAGTAAAGAGGGCAATTAATGGCACCAACATATTTCATCCCGGAACAGTGTTGTAAACCAAATATATAGTTGATTCAGCCAAAATAGTTGTTAAATGTTTTTAGCTTGAAATAATTTTTGACTTACAGAAAAGGTGCAAAAATAATATAGTTTCTATATATCCTTCACCCAGCTTCCTCTAATGTTACTGTTACATAGCATGGTGCAATTATCAAAATTAAGTCAATATCAGCACAATGCTATTAACTAAACCTCTGACTTTATTATTTGGTTTTCATCAGTTTTTCCACTAATGTCTTTTTTCTGTTTCAGGAACCAATCTAAGATGGCAAAGAGCATTTCATTATGATGTCTTATTAGTCTCTTTCAAACTGTAATATTTGCATAGTCTTCCTTGTTTTTCATTACCTTGACACTTTTGAAGAATATTAGACAATTATTTTGTAGGCTGCCCATCACATGGAGTTTTCTGCTATTTTCTCATTATTAGATTGAGGATTTGCCATTTGTAGCAAGAATGCCACATAAGTAATATACTCTTCTTAGTGCATTATATTAAGAGGTACGTGATGTCAATTTGTTACTACCGGTGATGTTAATAATGATCTCTTGCTTAAGATAGATCTCTTCCTTCTGGGCTTTTCAGCAGTAGACTTACCATTTTTTTCTTTTTAATTTAGAAACTATCTGCAAATATTCTATTTCTTTTCAAACTTTTGCCCATAATTTTAACATTCATATGTTTTCCTTATTTCTTCTGCATTTATTAATTAAGATTCTTCTGTAAGACAGCAATAATTGCTAGAGGCAAGATCCACCATTTATTTATTTGTTTGATTGCATATTTATTACACAGTGGGCTCATGAATATTTATTTTATTCTGTGGGTTATAATCTAGTATTATCACTATTTATTTTTTTACTCAAACTGTTACAGCTTTAGCCATTGGGAGTTCTTTTAAGTGGGCTTCTATGTCAAAAGTAATTTTGTAATAACTAGTCTCTAGTGTTGTTCAAACATTTTGAAGAGAACACTTACTCAACTATCAAATTTCTAAAACTCTCTCTGTGTTCCCTCCTATTCAATGACCTTACACAAAGTAGCTGCTTCTATACCTAAATCCTCAAACCTGCCCCAATTCTTCCAGCCCTTTTACCAGTGTGCTTCCCATAGTCCTCTTTTCCTCCTCCTTTCTACCTGACTCTCCATTGCAAAAGCCCAGGAATAGTCCTTCATAGGAGAACCTTGGAAGGTATGAAGAACGGAGGATACAAGGGTGGCTAAGCATTCTCTTTAGCTGCCAAAACGGGAAGAAAGACTAATTTTTGCTCAGCTCATACCTACATACCCAGCCTTCCAATAAGTCCTTAGCATTATTTTATCCCTCACAACTTGCCTTATTCCTCATTTTAGAAATAAACTGAAATTAAGCGGTTTGTCCAAAGTAGCACTGCTAATAACAGGAAAATCAAGGATTAAAATAATTTCGACAGTACTCTATACAGTAATACGTCTCATAGAGTTGGGTAACACTATCTTAGCTATGTGGATTGTAAAGAATGACTATGACTGCAACAGATAGAAATCGGGGGGGGGGGAATTATAGGTGGGCCACAGCATGAATAACCACACGAAAATAAATGGAGTGACTATGAAAAAATCGTTACAATGTTCCAAATTTCAACATCATAAAACTTGTTCTTTTAGTAAGAGGTTTTGTGAGGATATACTTTTGGGCATAAAAGCACAAATAGAAAATCAAGAAAACCAATTTTTAACAGTATCTTTATGTTAGAGGAAAATTCCATGTGCTTTAAGTTCTAAGCCGAACTAAAAATTTGACATTTTCTGATTAAGATTGTTTTTTGATGTTTTGTCAGAGAGAGAGAAAGTTCTGGATTTTGGGGTTGGGTATGCCTAGCACTTCTTTGCAACAATCAGAAAAATTAAGCTCTTGATTTTTAAGACCCTCTCACTCCAAATTTTAGAAAATGATGGATCACATACCAATCCATTTCATTCCAAAGATGTAATTACAATTGTCCTTTCCTTAATTACTTTAGATAATCATGATTTATTTGAATATGTTGTGAATGTACAGTGATTTATGTTATTTATCATAGTGGTGTTTGAAGCTTAAAATATATAAATGCGTAATGTATGTTCACATTATTATAGTTCAAAATATTCAAATGTTTTATGCCCATTCTATGAACATGACTTGTAAAAAGAGGATAGTATTGACACTTATTTCCATAGGCTATCAACTTGGAAGGTTGAAATTGCTAAAGTTTCATCAGGCAACTATAAAAGTGCAGAGAATAATATTGCAGAAATGAAGGATAAAAATGATATGATGCTATGTTATATAAAACTCACAGAGGAAATGCTTAAGACACACAAAAAGGCACCATACTGTCTGCATAATACAATGCCTGTATGTCTCAGAACTCTGTTACAGATTCTTATGTGAAGGAAAATAGCCTCTGTCTTCTTTGGCTCCCTAGAATTTTTGCTTCTCCTTAGAAATACCTCATTCAGAGTATAAGACCTGATTTCAGAAGAAAGGGGGCACCTTAAGCTGGATTGGATCAATGAAGGATTTATAAGAAAAGTATTTAAAATGCATCTTTAATAATAAGATAAAGATTTGGATGTTCTGAAATGATGATGTGAAAGTAAAGAGCAGGGAAGATTTTCAGACAGAGGGAACAGCATAAACAAAGACTGGGAAAACATGGGGCATATTATAAAGAGTAGACAGCAGTGTAATGAGAAGTAAATTTAGGAAAGTAGAATCTGATTAGATTTCCAAACTAAAGAATTTGCATTTTACTCTATAAGAGGAGAAAAATAAACAGACACAGAAAAAGCTTTGATAAAATCCATTATCCCTTTATGATAAAACCACTCAAAAAACTAGGCATCAAGGGACTATTCCTCAATATATTAAGAGCCATCTATAGCATATCCACAGCCAACATCATACTGTACAGAAAACAGCTGCAAGCATTTCCCCTTGTGAATAGGAATGAGATAAGGAGCCCATTCTCACCACTCCTACTGAACAGAGTTCTGGAAGTCTTAGAGCAACCAGGCAAGAGAAGGAAATAAAAGTCATCCAAGTAGGGAAATAATAAGTTAAGTTATCTCTCTTTGTTATGATATGATTCTATACCTAGAAAACCCTAAAGACCCTCCAACAGGCTCCTAAAACTGATAAATAACTTCAGTAAAGTTTCAAGATACAAAATCAATGTACAGAAATCAATAGAATTTCTATATGCCAATCACAGTCATGCTGAGAGCCAAATCAAGAATACAATTCCATTTATAATAGCCACAAAAAATAAAATAATGTAATACCTAGGAATACATTTAACCAAGAAGGTGAAAGACCGCTACAAGCAGAACTATAAAACACTGCTGAAATAACTCATAAATAAAACAAACAAGTGGAAAAACTTCCATGCTCAGGGACTGGAAGAAAAAATATCATTGAAATGTCCATACTGTCCAAAGCAACCTACAGATTCAATGCTATTCCTATCAAACTACCAATATCAATTTTCACAGAATTAGAAAAAAAACTATCCTAAATTCATATGGAATGAAAAAAGAGTCCAAATAGCCAAAGCTATCCTAAGCAAAAAGAATAAAGCCAGAGGCATCACATTACCCAATTTCAAAATATACTATAAAGCTACAATAACAAAAACAGCATGGTAATAGAACAAAAACAGACACATAGCCAATGGAACAGAATGGAAAAAGTCAGAGGTGACATACCTACAGCCTTCTGATTGTTGATAAAGCCAACAAAAATAAGCAATGGGGAAATGACTCCATATTCAATAAATGGTGCTGGGACAGCTGGCTAGCTAAATGCAGAAGAATAAAACTAGATCTCTACCTTTCACCATATACAAAAATTAACTCAAGATGAATTAAAGATTTACATGTAAGACCTCAAACTGTAAGAATCCTAGAAGAAAACCTAAGAAGCACTATTCTGGGCATTGGCCTTAGGAAAAAAATTATGGTTAAGTCCTTAAAAGCAATAGCAACAAAAACAAAAATTGTTAACTGGGACCTAATTAAGCTAAAGAGATTCTGCACAGCAAGAAAAATAATCAACAGAGTACAGAGGCAACCTATAGAAGGGGAAAACATATTCACAAACTGTGCATCCAACAAAGGTATAGTATCTAGAATCTTTAAGAAACTTAATAAGCCAAAAACAAGTAAACCCTTTAAATAGTGGGGAAAAGACATGAACAGACACTTGTCAAAAGAAGAGACACATGCAGCCAACAAACGTAAGAAAAAAAGCTCAGCATCACTAATCACCATAGAAACGCAAATTAAAATCACATGAGATACCATCTCACACCAGTCAGAATGGCTATGATTAAAAAGTCAAAAAGTAACAGATGTTGGCAAGGATGCAGAGAAAAGGGAATGCTTGTTCTCTGCTGGTGAGAAAGTAAATTTGTTCAACTCCTATGGAAAACAGTGTGGAGATTTCTCAAAGAACAAAACATAGAACTACCATTCAAACCAGCAATCCCACTACTGAGCATCTCTCCAAAGGAAAATAAATAGTTTTATCAAAAAGATACCTGCACTCATATGTTTATCAGCACTATTCACAATAGCAAAGTCATGGAATCAAGTGTTCATCAACAGTGGATTGGATAAAGAAAATGTGGTATATGTTCACCATGGAATACTACACAGCCATAAAAAATGAAATCATGTCCTTTGCACAACATGGATGCAGCTGGAAGCCGTAATCCTAAGTGAAGTAACACAGAAACAGAAAATCAAATGCTGAATATTCTCACTTATAAGTGGGAGCTAAACAATGAGTACAGATGGATATAAAGATGAAAATAATAGACACTGGCTACTGCAAAAGGGGGTTAGAAGGTGGAGGGAAGTGTTGAAAAACTACCTATTGTGTTCTACATTCATATATGAGTGATGGGTTCACTAGAAACCCAAACCCCACCATTATGCAATGTGCCCATGTATCAATCCTACACATATACCTCCTGAGTCTAAAATAAAAAATGAAGTTATTAAAAACCTATATTTTACAAGTAGATAACAATCAATTATTTATTAAGGGGATATATAAAATTGGCTTTTATATACAAGCCACATTGATGTTTTTATTCTGAATCTCTGACACATGATACTTATTGTCTATATTATTTGTTTCCCATTTTAGCATGTATTTAGATGTTATATTTCACTGAAATTTTAATTGTAATTTTGTTTTAATTTCACTTTCATATTGTATATCTTATTCCTACTATTACCTTGTAAAGTCATTCATTCAGGATATGAAAGAAATATCATCTTTATACTTTTAATTTTCTCAACGTACCTATAATAATTAGCTATAGTAGAAAGATTAATAGGTGCTGATTTTTTATTGATAGATTTAACCAAAGATTGGGTCAATATTGAAGCCTAAGGAATTTCCAGTGAAGTAGGCATAGCAGCAGCTATGGGAATGTTCCCATACATTGCCAATGTTGACATTTGTAAAAGCAGTTTTATTTCAAAGGGAATCTTCATTCTCTTTATTGAAAGATAATTCTTGAGGGAAACTTGAAAAATTATATTTTTCCTTTTGAGTCTAATCATCTGGATTAGAGTGATGACTCATGACAGACAGGTCAAATGGAAGGCTAACATATTGAAAATCAGAGTCATCTTAGATTTCTGCAGGAAGAATAGTAGATATCTGGATCAAACTCATTCATGATAAGAAGATGAAATGTAATATTAATGCAGGTATGTTCCTACTAAACTCTTCTTATGTACCCACATTCCTTTTAAAATATATATAGATAGATAATTCTACCTTCCTATCTCCTGTGGCTCTAGAGATATAAAATAACATAGATGTTATGTTTTACATAAGGAAACTTTATTAAACCACTTGGTTTGAAATAGCTATGTGGTAAATTTCCTTGGATACACAACAATGGTCTCAAATATCACCTATCTATCCATCCATCCGGATAGATTCCTTTCTTTGAAGAAGGAAGGCAACTGTCTATCATTGCTCCCTCTTTCCTGTAAGTAGGAGTCATTGAATAGCACTAACACAAGCATCTGCCCCACAAATCAGTTATTTTTGTCATTTACCATCATCACTAACCTCCAAAACATTGCAGGACATATCGTTGGCTTCTGCTTAAATATTAAACAAATTAAACAAATATTAAGCATTGCATAAGCAAAACTGTTTTCTTACAGATCTAGAACAAAAAAGCCTATATATCAAGAATTTGCCATTTAAAAAATATGGGTGAGGTACTACTGAATTTATTTATACAAGTCAACTTTTAATCTTTGTAAAGAGCTTTCAAAGAAACAGATAAAAAGTTATATATGCAAATCACTTTGATATAAAGAAGAACATGTTGATATGAGTAGGACATAGGATTAGAAATGATAATAAATGCTATAACATTTCAAATAAGGAAAGTATCAACTCTAGTTTGGCTAATCAAACAAGAAACCCTAGAAAAAGAAGTTGAGCTGCGTATCAAAGCCTGGTAGCATTTAGAAGTTAAATATTAGGAGATGGGGAACTAGAGGCTGAGAAAATAACAGGGCCAAGTCACAGATATAGAAAAATCTAAGGGAATTTGGAGTCTTGAAAAAGCTAGGCCTAAATTCTGCTGAATTCCAAGCATTAATAGATTTTCATGTCGAATGATTATTTTGAGTGTTCACTGTAACTGGTACCACACTCTGTAATTCAGTTTAGAAACTTCTTGCTTACAGCCTTGCTCACTGATTCGTGTGTGTGTTATTGGCTGGCCTCACCAGCTTGATATCCTATTCCATCCCTTTCGTCTTTTACTTTGAGCCCTGTTTCTGAGGACTTACAATCTTAAAACATTTATCCTTGAACTTCTTATGTTTACTGTCCTACTGCTCTGTGGCAACCTCACTGGCATGATGAAATGGCACATGCCATGTTCAAAGAACACTAAATTGATTATTGAGAAGAGAACATGTCTGTGGTCAAATCGTGGGAAGCAAGATTGAAAACGGAAAATAGTAGAGGAGACTGAGTCAGACGGATTTTATTCAATGGGTCAATATTACCTCAATTTTTTTGGCCATGCTTTTCTACTGTTTTGTACTTAGTCATTCTTTAAATTGGCTCATTAAAAAAATGTTGTAGTCATCTTGTGCAATATTAGCCATAAAATCATTGTTTAAGGTGATGATTAAACTTCTTATGAACAAAATACTTAACTATTAAAACCAATTACTTTTTTCCATTGTAACCAGTGTTACGTGTCCCGTTTTTTGGTAAATGCTGTTATAAATTAATGGGCAGCTATTGAAGCTTTAGTCAGATAATTTTAGCAAGATTTACTCTGTGGTAGTATATAAGAAGATGAGAGGTGAGAAAATAGCAGTTTAAGGTAAATATATAGTTATGAGTTAATAAAAACCCATATTAAAGTCTTCACTAAAGGAGTAAATAAACAATGTGAGAGGAAATAAATGGGTCTTACTGATAATTTAAAGTAGTTGGCAAATGTAAAATGATGCTCAACGTTGAGTCTGGGTGCCTAAGGAAAATGATGGTAAATAGATGTTGACGTGGGTGTCAGTTGCCAGTGATGACAGCTGTAACCATAGGAGTAGCTGAGGTGTCTAAGGGGAAGTATGTAGAAAGGAAATAGCAGAGGATTGAAGAGACAATCTTGAGGGGATTTATATTTGTTCTGTGAAAGAAGGAACAAGAGGCAGCAATGGCAGTGAAGAAGGAATGATCAACTGTGTAAGGAAGGAATTGGTATAGTGTGTTTATATGCACATTGAGAAAGAATACAATTTAAAAATGACGTGGTGGCTGAAAATAGATCAAGTTATATTTTGTCGACATTTGACAGTGGCCAAAATGTTTTTTAAATTGGGCATCAAGGGAAGAAGTAAGGGATCTGGTGAGAACAGAAAGACCTGATCAAGCACAGAATCTAAAAATCTTGGTAACAGGCAGTTTGTGATAAGGGTATCTGACTGCAGATGACCTGATAAAGGGACTGAGGTTCAGATGTAGGGGAATAGACAAGTGGAACAAGAAAAAGCTTGGCTTCAGTTGAGGAGGACATGGGGTCATGGAAATGTCATAAGGGCAAGGATACTATCATGCTAGGAGTAAAATTGAGATTCAGTAACCAATATTAGTTTTCCAACATGACTAGGACCAAAAAAAGACAAAAACCTATAAAATACATATCTTGTCAGTTTGATCATGTGGTTGAATGGAAACTAGGCTGTCAGTGAGATTTTGAAATATAGTGAATTTTGACTTTAAAAGCAAACTGCTTTTAAATTCTCCAATCACTGAGTATTGGTTGTGCCTGGTTATAAGGAGTCAGTTACAGACGCACAGTGACAAGGAGATTTTATAGAGTGCCAAAGCCATGCTGAATTTATTTCTTCTAATTGTGTTCCACATTCCCCTTTTATGAGCATTCCCATATAAAATGGTGCATAATATTTAATGAATACAGGCCTATAAGATCTCCTGAATTTAAATTCTAAGTAGGCACATGAATAGAGTTCAATAAAATTATTTTATTGGTGTAAAGGAATGCACCCACAGATGCTTTCCTACTTCTTTGCAGTTTAATTTTTTTTTTAATACAGAATCTGCTATGGTAACAGAGTAATTAATGTTGCCTGTCTCACAAGCAAAGTCTACTCACCAAATTTACAGCTAAAAATGCAGCTCTAGTCAATTCTTACTGTGTCTTAACATCATGTTTTTCGTCCCTATCTCATTATTTTATTAATTAAGTAAGATTTGCTATTTACTGGCTTGCAATTCAAAGAGCTCACAGAACTTCCCTAGTTCAAAATTCAAAGGCTTTGTACTACTTTTATATTGAAAAAGAATCAATTTAGTTTAGTAAGAGATTATGTGCAGAGTAATGGTCTAATCAGAGACCTAAGGGCTTTGAAATATTAAGTTACATTTCTATTTCAAGTTAGTCTTCTTATCATCTTTTCCCCCATTAAACTGGGATGAGAGTAGAGAATGCCTTTTATAAAGGATTTAAATGGAAAGAGATGATCTCCAAGAAAGTCAGTGGTTGATAAATAGCATTTGTGCAGATGTGTTAACTAACAAGTAAAAGTCCGTTAGTGTATTTTAATAATACATATTCAATTATAACTCACCTGGGCCACAACATCTAGTCACTAAATGACAACAGCAATATGTGTACTTTCTCCTTTAACAAATATCACACATGCCCTCTTCAACTGCTTTGTTCAAGCAATACCAAGTGGTCATGTGTCAGAGCTTGTTTTTAAGTCCCCTTAAGTTCTTTATCATTCATTCTGGGGTCCAGGCTACCCGACCTTATCTGACCTTCAATTTTTCTCCCAAGAGCTCTTGCCTGGACTTAAAATTTTAATTTATTTCACCCACTGAAGCCCATGTTCAGTGCTGTGAATCAAGGGTCAAATTTTAAGTACAGTATCTACTGAAGATATAGAAGTAAAATGGAAATAAATGCTCCTTGAAACTACAAGTTACAGTCTTTTGAGTATTTCATGAAAAAAGCCATTTTCTATATCATTCGCATTTAGCTAAAAGCATTTTGCTTAAATGCCTGAAAGTGTCTTGGGTGAAGTGAAATGAAAATCTTCTCTGAAACACTATTGATATAAAACTAGCAATAAAATCAATTCTCCTTTAGCTGGTTGATCCATCAGATCAGTTGAGCACACAACATGACACACGGAAGTACAGCCATCTTGCCCCATCAGAGAAGAGGTGTTTTTTAGCAAGGAGAACTGCTATATAAACTTAGAGTTGGAATCAACCTTGTATAGCCTAGCAAGCCTGATTAGAACTTCTCGCTAGATGTTATATGATGATTAGTTAGTTGCATCACAGACATCTCTAAGTGGGACTAATGCAGATGAAAAGTTGAAAACTTGTAAATTTTTTGTCTGTTTCTCTTTGTGTATCTCTGCAGGCTTGCTATTCCATCTAATATCCTTTCTTTGCCAGCTGTTTTCGATGATGGAAAAATGGAAACTATTTCTTGTTGTAACCTAATAATATTCATAGTAGGGAATAAAGACAGTGTCTGCTTCTTTGGACCTGTTAGGAAGATCACATTCCATCCCTTTTGTTATTCAAAATGAGTGTAGGTACTTCTTCTTGCCTCATCCATTGCTCTATTTCTCATTAGTTACTTCTTTCCCACATTTGTTTAGTTTCTAATATTTTTCCTCTTTTCTTCTGTGATATACCTAATTTTTACACCCAAAGTCAGACTTGATGTCTCCAGGTTTTCACTTGAACTGTCTGTGGCTGTAGTTTGTGTTCACCCTTCTCTTTAAGCAACTCAGACACACAAGACTAAACCTCCTTTTGAAAACTGCTTAGCTGAAATTCCAACTGAGGCACTCCAGCCCTCCTTTAAAGTAGGGAGTCAGCAAACTACAGCCTGTGAGCCAAAAGTGGGCAAGGCCTGTTTTCGTAAATAAACGTTTTGTTGAGATACAGCCATGCGTATTCATTTACATATTATTCATTGCTGATTTCATGCTACAGTGACAGACTTAAGCAGTTGCAACAGAGACCATATGGCCTGAAAAACCTTTTTACAAAAAAAAAAAAAAAAAAAATGCCCCAACTCTTGCTCCTAGAGAGTTTGGACAAGGAGGCACAGAGCTGACTTTTATTTTTTTCTCTCTCAATCTAGGGAGTTTATGTCTTGTCTCCTCTAATAAACATTCCCAGGCCAAAAATGAGCTCCATTTTTTCTTAAAATAATTGTTAGATAATTCATATAGCTCTATGTCATAATTCTATTCCCGGTGTATTGGACTTACATATGTTAGACTTCTAGCTAGATTATTTTTGCTCAATTATTGAGAAAGTATTCATCATGTTAATAAGAAAAACTAAGATCTCAGGATTCCCTATTTAATAAATGGTGCTGGGAAAACTGGCTAGCCATATGTAGAAAGCTGTAACTGGATCCCTTCCTTACACCTTATACAAAAATTAATTCAAGATGGATTAAAGACTTAAACGTTAGACCTAAAACCATAAAAACCCTAGAAGAAAACCTAGGCATTACCATTCAGGACATAGGCATGGGCAAGGACTTCATGACTAAAACACCAAAAGCAATGGCAACAAAAGCCAAAATTGACAAATGGGATCTAATTAAACTAAAGAGCTTCTGCACAGCAAAAGAAACTACCATCAGAGTGAACGGGCAACCTACAAAATGGGAGAAAATTTTTGCAACCTACTCATCTGACAAAGGGCTAATATCCAGAATCTACAATGAACTCAAACAAATTTACAAGAAAAAAACAAACAACCCCATCAAAAAGTGGGCGAAGGACATGAACAGACACTTCTCAAAAGAAGACATTTATGCAGCCAAAAAACACATGAAAAAATGCTCATCATCACTGGCCATCAGAGAAATGCAAATCAAAACCACAATGAGATACCATCTCACACCAGTTAGAATGGCGATCATTAAAAAGTCAGGAAACAACAGGTGCTGGAGAGGATGTGGAGAAATAGGAACACTTTTACACTGTTGGTGGGACTGTAAACTAGTTCCACCATTGTGGAAGTCAGTGTGGCGATTCCTCAGGGATCTAGAACTGGAAATACCATTTGACCCAGCCATCCCATTACTGGGTATATACCCAAAGGACTATAAATCATGCTGCTATAAAGACACATGCACACGTATGTTTATTGCGGCATTATTCACAATAGCAAAGACTTGGAACCAACCCAAATGTCCAACAATGATAGACTGGATTAAGAAAATGTGGCACATATACACCATGGAATACTATGCAGCCATAAAAAATGATGAGTTCATGTCCTTTGTAGGGACATGGATGAAATTGGAAATCATCATTCTCAGTAAACTATCGCAAGAACAAAAAACCAAACACCGCGTATTCTCACTCATAGGTGGGAATTGAACAATGAGATCACATGGACACAGGAAGGGGAATATCACACTCTGGGGACTGTTGTGGGGTGGGGGGAGGGGGGAGGGATAGCATTGGGAGATATACCTAATGCTAGATGACGAGTTAGTGGGTGCAGCGCACCAGCATGGCACATGTGTACATATGTAACTAACCTGCACAATGTGCACATGTACCCTAAAACTTAAAGTATAATAAAAAATAAAATAAAATAAAAAAAAAAAAGAAAAACTAAGATCTCACTTCTCAACTGACTTATAGTGAATTGAATGTAAGCTAATTCTTTTTTTTATCAGGAGTTTTGATGGAAAATTTCATATTTCTTTTTCTTTTTAAAAATGTGAGCAGAAGACAACCTGGGCCTGCATTTCTAATTATGACAATTGACTGGTACTGAGTAGCTGCTGTCCCCTGGAGCTAGGCCTGTGTCCTCCACCAGGCCCTGGTCATCAGCACTCATAGCACATACACATATGCCCTTACCCCTCTGGCCCACTCATTGCTCCTGTGGGCAGCTAAGTGTGTAACTGCTCAATGGGTTCATCTTTCCCACTGCCTAGAAAGAGCCAATTTAACAAGACGAGAATTGCAATGGCGAAAGAGTAATTCATGAAGAGCCAACTGTGTGGGAGACTGGAGTTTTATTATTAATCAAATCAGCTCCCCAAGCATTCTGGAATTAAAGTTTTTAAAGATAATTTGGCAGATAGTGGCGTAGGAACTGAGGAGTACTGATTGGTCAGGTTTGAGATGGAATCATCGGGGGTTGCAATGAGGTTTTCTTGCTGTCATCTGTTTCCTGGGTAGGATGGAAGAATTAGTTGAGCCAGATTACTGGTGTCAGCTGCAGGGTTTGCAAAATGTCTCAAGCACTGATAATAAGTTTTACGATAGTGATGTTATCCCCAGGAACAATTTGGGGAGGTCCAGACTCTTGGAGCCAGAGGCTGCATGACCCTGAAATTGTAATTTCTAATTTGGTAGCTAATTTGTTAGTCTGACAAACGCAAACTGGACCCCAGGCAAGAAGGGGGTCTTTTCGGGAAAGGTCTATTATCAGTTTTGTTTCAGAGTCAAAACATGAGCTGCGTTCCTTCCCAGAGTTAGTTCAGCCTATGCCCAGGAATGGACAAAGACAGCTTAAGGGTTAGAAGCAAGATAGAGTTGGTTAGATCTGATTTCTTTCACTGTCATAATTTCCTCAGTTATAATTTTGCAAAGGCACTTTCAAGTGTGGGATGATCTCTCTAGATTTCAGCACTTCCTGAACAGGTGTAGAGCCACAATTGCCAGGACTATTGTTCTAAATGGATATTTTAAGGCAATCCTGAGCCTTATTTTTCTTTTTCTTTTTGAGGTCACAAATAAGCTTAATATGCAGCTTCCAATCAACCCAAGACACTATAAAGAAGATGCTTACCAAAGCCAGACCCCTGAAATATCAGACATATCTCTAAAAGCCTTTCATTCTAATGAGAGAAAGAAAAAATAGGAACCACTAAAGCCATACCAGTAAAGATGTGTTTTATTAGCAGGATTGAATGGAAAATGGGAATGTATGAACATAAGTACTTATGGATGCAAAAGTTTTAGAAAGCCTAGAAAGAATAAGAGCACTTGTGCTGCCTGAGGCATCCCAAGATAAAGTACGCTCATCATTTTGAGTAAGAAAAATATCATCCAGGGAATCAGTAGAGTTTATCTGATCCTTGTTTCATGGGAACAGTTCTGTGATCTCCAAAATGGTCTCTGCCTTTTTCATTTGGTAGGCTCACATCATTCCTTCCACACTTGCCAGCTCATCCATGTGTTTCTTGCATTGGTTTGACTTAAGTAGGAATTGGGAGGATTGAGAGAAAGGTCAACCCTTTTCCCTGCTTTGAATAAATAAGCTTTGTAAAACTGACAAAGGAAGGCAAGAGATTAGGCACAGGAAGAACTAGGAGGAATCAGAGATTTTTTTAAAAAAAAAAAGCAAGAAAGAATGCTTCTCACTCAGCTTCAATAATGAATGTCCGTGTTCTTTAACTGATTGGCAATAATGCCAAATCAAATTCTCTCCTTCTCTTTCACACATATACACCACACACACACACACTCTCTCTCTCTCTCACTCTTTTCTAAGAGCAGAACAGAGCTAAATACAGAAGAAAAAGAGAACCCAGCCCTCAATGATAAATAATTTAAGGATTTGTCATTATCTTGCTTGAAATCAGAAGAGAGGAAGAAGAATACATAGAATGCCTATTTTTAACAGTATTTTGTCTACTTTTCAGGTTAAACATTTTCCCTTGTTCATCAAATGATGCTAATATATCTTTACTGTGTTAGGATATATAGTCATCCTCCAATATGGAGAAATCCACTGTCCTATGAGTCTCAAAAGGTAAGAATTTGTCCTTTTAAAAATAAAAATATCTTGTCTGCTTCTGCTCTTATGTAATGTTCTTAGCATCTGTATATAGAACTAAGCTTTTCAAAACCTTTTATTTTATAATTATACTGTGCAATCATGTATATTTCATGCTGCACAAGTATCCTAGAATAAAGAATGAAATGCTATGTGAGGAAATCTATGTTATGAAATGTTATGAGTGAAATAATTAGATCTAGATAAGACCTACATGAAAAAATTGCTCATATTCTTTCTGCTTCTACGTTTGTCCTTAAATATGCCCCACAAGACCTAACCACAGAACAGTAACATGACTAAGGGAAGAGAATGGAACTGAGACATGCCCTGGGTTATTCTAATATTTGAAATTGATCTCTGGAGGAGAAATTGCATAAGACACTGTTGTAAGGAGGAAAACTGTGTGGTTTTGGAAGACAAGAAAATGTCTCAAATGTTTCAAGAAAGAAGAGTGTTATACTTTCTTTGAATGGTGCTGAAAGATTGGATAAGGACATGGATGTGACAGGATGTGGATTGCTATGGGCCACGGTAAAAGCAGCATCACTGAAATGGTTGGCTTATAAACCCTGCTGGATGGATTAATAAGAGAAAGGGATGTGAAGGAGTAGAAACATCTAGTGCAAAAACTTCTTCAACAATATTTTTAGGCTTTCTTCCAGGATTTTTATAGTTTTAGGTTCTACATTTTAGTATTTAATCCATCTTGAGTTGATTTTTGAATATGGTGTGAGAAAATAAAGAGCTTCTGCACAGCAAAAGAAACCATCAACAGAGTAAATGGACAACTTACAGAATGGGAGAAAATTTTTGCAAATCACACATCTGACAAAGCACTAGTATCCAGAATCTATAAGGAACTTAAACAAATTTACAAGCAAAAAACAACCCCATTAGAAAGTAGGCAAAAGACATGAACAGACACTTTTCAAAAGAAGACATACGTACACACAAAAAGCTCATGAAAAAATTCTAAACATCACTAATCATTAGAAATGCAAATCAAAATTACAATGAGATACCCTCTCCCACCAGTCAGAATGGCTATTACTAAAAAGTCAAAGAATAAAAGACGCTGGCAAGGCTGCAGAGAAAAGGGAATGTTTATACACTGCAGGTGGAAATTAGTTATCTAATTTATTTGAATTAGTTCAGCCATTGTGGAAAGCAGTTTGGTGATTTGTCAAAGAATATAAAACAGAATTAACATGGAACCCAGCAATCCCATTATTGTGTATATACCCCAAGGAATATAAATCATTCTACCATAAAGGCACATGCATATGTATGTCAATTGTAGCATGATTCACAAAGAAAACACATGGAATTAGCCTACATGCCCATCAATGGTAGACTAAATAAAGAAAATGTGCCACATATGCACCATGGAATATTACACAGCCATAAAAAGAATGAGATCATGTCCTTTACAGCAACATGGATACAGCTAGTTCCATTATTGTAAGTGAACTAATGCAGGAAAAGTAAAGCAAATAATGCATGTTCTTACTTATAAGGGGAAGCTAAACACTGAGTTCACAGGAACACAAGGGAATGATAGAAACCAAGTTCTACTTGAAGGTGGAGGGTAGGAGTAGGATGAGGATTGAAAAACTATCTATGAGTGACTACGCTTACTACCTGGTGATGAAATAATCTGTATTCCAAACCTTTGTGATACACAACTTAGCTGTATAACAAACCTATACATGTACCACTGAAACTAAAATAAAAGTAAAAAAAAATAGATTTTGTTGTGAAGGAGAGCAGGGACATGGGACATAGAATGAGAGCAAAAAATGTTAAGGAATTCTCTCTTCGTTAGGAAGTTACAGGAGCAATTTTGTATACTGAAGGGCATGAACCATTAAAGAGAAATAAATTAATAATGCAACAAATTAGAGGTGATAACTGAATAAAATAGTTCTTATAAAGACAGATAAGGGTGGAATCCAGGACAAAAGTAAAGGAGTTGCTCTTTAAAGAAGGACTAGAGAACTGTTGTAATTGGAGGTAAGTCAGAGAGAATGGTTGTAGATCCAAGTCATTTGAGAGATTTGACAATTATTTGGTTGCTTTTATTTTTCTTCCAGTGATTCAAGGAGCAAGCTAAGGAGGTCTTGGGCATTTGGAGAGAGATGAAGAAATGTAAAATAATGATTTTGAAGAGGAGTACTTTTGGGTAGACTTGAGGGGTAATTTGAAACTAGCGGTCATGAATGTAAAGGTAGACCAATTATTAATTCTATTACCTTGAATTTGGGCTGCAGACACCAATTGGGTTGGTAATAGATTTAATCAGATTTAGGAATTCATTTTAAGGACATCTTTTTTAATTGTCTTTTCTAGATAGAGTTATTTGTTGTCTGAAAATCTAGTTTCATGAAAACTCAAGACAATGATACCCATAGGAAGGAAGATGGAAAAGAAGAATTAACCCAGATGTGAGTTAGGGTAGTTACGTTCACAGAGGACGTTGCTATTGAACATTCAGGTGGAAACATTAGGAAAAGGGTGGATCCTAGTCAGGCTTTTACACATTCTATCACCATGTGTATACAGACACTGTGTCTCTTACTTGGTTTTAAAATAATAGAAAACATACAAGTCCATTTCCCATGAGTGGAAGTTAGCAGAAGTAATAAAATTAATGTGATTAAAGTTCAAAGATGAGGTGAAGGGTGCAGTTCTTTCAGGCTATGGCAAGTCTTGGCTCAGGCTTTTAGATAGACTCTCTTCGGTCAGGCTTCAGAAGCAGCCTCTGAAAAAAGAATTTATATGTAAGTGACTTCTTAAAGAAAATGCTTTTTAAATATCTGTATAGTATTCCACTCTGTGAATAAAGCAATTCATTCTTTTTTTGGATTCTGAAGTAATCTCTAAACAGAAGGAATAAAGGGCTAAGCCAAAGAGTAGACAATAAGTGATTGGTACCAGCCTGTTCATACATGCCTTCATTTAGGTACTTCAGATTGTTTCATGAGTTATTTGTCCCTCAACAATTTCAGCAAACCTCGATATCTTCTCAGAGGAAATCCTGTGTCATGTGATCAATGGATATGGGAAGGCCAGTGTTTCTTCAAGTGGGAACTGAAGTAATATTAATTGCTGCTGTAGCTTTTCAGTATCTCAGGCAGAAAACGTGAATCCTCCTTGACACTTCTCTTGTTCCCCTCATACCTTTTATCCAATATGCCAGGAAATTCTATGGTCTACATCCATAACGCAATCCAGTACTTCTCATCTATCTCCAGTGCTACCTTTTTGTTTAATTCACTGTTACTATGGGCCTGAATTGTTTTAATAGTGTCCAGCTGATCTCCTTGCTCCCATCTATTCTGAATACATAGCCAGAGTGATTCTTTTAAAAATGTAAGTCAGATCATGTCACACTTGTGCTCAAATGATCTAATGCTTTTTCATCTTCCTCAACCAAAGTTCTTATCATGACCTACTCAGCTGTAGATGATCTGGAATTGTTGATTCTCTGACCTTGTCACTTACATTATTTCTATGTCTTACCCAGCCTAATCCAGGCTCACCAAACTTCTCGCTGTTCTTCAAACACAGCAGGTAGGTTTCCTCTACATATATCCTTTGTACTGTTTCCCTTGACTAGAAAAACAATTCACCAGATATGCATGTGTCAATATTTACTCATTCATCTCTTTCAAATCTTTGCTCAGTTGAGCCTTTTCAATTACCTTTTAAATTTAAAATATCTCTTTCCTTTCTTCATGTATACTTCTTACCCTTGGAACTCCTGCCTAACCATGCCTGGTTCTGTTTTGTTTTGTATAACCCATTTTCTTCTACATTCTCCATCTCCTTTGCTTATTGTTTGTTGTCTATTTCCCCTCTAGAGTGTTAGCCTCTTGTGGGCAGACTCTTTTTTCTGTATTGTGTGATATATTCATGGTAGCTGGAATATATCAACCTCAAAAGAATGCTTGTTGAATAAATTAATGAAAACTTTTCAATATCTGTATAGTATTTCACTCTGTGAATAAAGCAAATCACCCTTTTTTTGGATTCTCAAGTAATGATAATAAACTCAGACGTAAATAGATCTACCTCTAATTACTGCCTTGGTGTATGTAGAGGACACTCTCAGTACCGTGCTCAGATCAACCTTGCATCCCTTCGGCAGGTTCTGTGTGCCCCTTTTCATCTCCACTGTGCTTTTGCTTTCACTACTTGCATTGTGACTTTTCTGATTTCTGCCCTGGGGCCACAGAAGCTGCTTTGCATACATGGAGCAAGTAGCTTTGCATACATGGAGCACCCTTAGCGAACAACTGACTGATGCAGGCACAGGATGTTAAAGCCCAGGTCCTTTGCCACAGATCAGGACAAACTTTGGGACATAATTTATACCGCAGAGTGCACCTGTGTCATCAGGCCACTACCACTGCGGTGGGTCATTGCCTGATTTTGCACTCTTGCTTGGACTGTTTCTCTCTGTTCTACTTCTTTGATTATGTTTCTAGTTTCTCCTGGGGCATTTTCTTTAAGAAGTCACTTACATATAAATTCTTGTTTCAGAGGCTGCTTCTGAAGCCTGACCTAAGACAGTCTATCTAGAAGCCTGAGCCAAGATAGTCTAGCTACTTGAATTATATTTCTAGAGAAAGGATTGTTGAATAAGGTAGAATTTACATTTTAAAAATTCTTGACCAAATACAAACTTCTAATGAAGCTTCAGGTTCATGGAAAATACATAAATCGAATTATATAATGTCTACTTTGGTTGATAAAAGCATACGCAATATATCTGGCAGCTAAAACATTACAGATTTCTAATGGTTTTGAGTCTCTCAGAAACAAGTCTCTCCTGACTTTTGAATCCAAAGGATTTTTCTGTACAGGTTTCACTAATTTTTTATTAAAGAAAAATGTTTGACAATAGCGCACACACACACACTCACACACCCTCTTTGGGTCTTTCCTTCTGAGGACTTTATACTGAAATGAAATGTACCCATATGAGTAAATTTAAGCCAGTCAGAATAAATTAATCCTTATGATCATTGAGCTCTGACAGAGGACCACAGGCAGCATTTTTGGGGACATTGCTCTTGTCCCAAGTGCTTGCCCCAAGTAGGGAAGAGTAGCCAAAGGATGAATAAAGAAACATTTATTCTTAGGCTAAGTAGCTAGGCAGGAACATATATTAGAGCAATCACAACTTCTCAGTTTTGAAGACTGAAGGGGAGAAAGGGGGATTATTATTGCATCTCTCTGGATGATGTCCAATTTGAGATTTTTAAAACACCTTTGTAGCTGCAGTTATCGTTTTGTGGGTGAGTTGATGGAGAAAAGGGAATGATATTGTGCTAGCTTTTCCCTAAATAAGGGTACTTACAACATTTTTTATAACTGACTTCTTCACACACACTGGGTGAGAATAAAGCTGAATAGCTGTGAAATGGAGCAAACAAGAACACCTTAGCTGCATTAATGAGAATGTTTCCTTTAAAAACATTTGCAGAATTATTTTCATACATACTTTCCAAAACCAAATCTATTTCCTGTTCATTAAATATTACAGAAGAGTATATGTCTACAATTCAAAGTAAGAAGCCCAAGTAAGAAGCCCCTTTCTCTTTGTTCATGCTTTAGATATCTCCATTTGTTCTTCTGTGAGAACTACAGCCTTGAAAGCACAGAATACATGAAATATTCCTGTGTAAACTTCTTTGGCTAGAAATGTTCGTTCAATATAACAAGGCAATTGAGAAATATTTAACTAAAACTACCAAGATGGTCAGCAATATATTTAGAAATTCTAACTATTAGTTCAACTCATTAAACCTCATTAAAATTCTAGTGCTTTAAATACATTAAGCAAATGTCTACTGGTGTGCTTCTATAACAATTCAACAACGCATGTTTGGTTCTCCCTTCTCCCTTTCCCCTTCCCCTTCTCTCTGCCCTTTACTAGTTAGGTAACTTTGGGCAGGATACTTCAAATCTTTTTGTGTTCTCAGTTTCCTCAGCTCTACGATGGGAAAAATAATAGTACAATTACTGTGAGGATTTACTCAGTTTTAGGACTTATATTGATCAAACTCTTAACTTTGATGTGTAAATTACTTAGAAAGGGTTTGATTATTTCCAAAGAGACTCTGGAACCCAATGACCAAGAGAGATGGAGAGAGACTAAGGAAGGAAGAAAGAGAGCAGCACTTTCACAATTCTTCTGATAACTCCTAAAAGAATCTTACCATTTTAGGAACTTTTATCATGTTCCTACCCATGCTCCAAAGTCTTCTGAGGTCACCATTTCCCGTAAGTTAAGTACAAAGTTATGGCCTGATATTCAAGGATTGTCTGAAATATTGACTCCATCTGTCTTTTTGCCCTTCTTACTGTCACTTCCCTGTGCTTCACCCCAGTGGATTATTTTACTGTATTCTGAATTTTTCCAACTTTACATTCACTTCTTGCCATCTTCTTCCTGACATGCTCTTCCTGAACATCTTTGACTATTAAAATCTTATATTTCAGAACTCATCCTAGATTCTGCATAGGGGAAGGCTTTTTTCAGCATTTACATACATCCACATTCATTTCCTGTCCTCTTCCCCAGCTTCCTCAGCAAACACAGGTGAATTAATTATAACTGCTTCATCAGTTGAACTTCATTGCAATTTGTGCCTATATCTTTTTGCCAATCTGCAACTATGTCTTTGTAATGTAGTCATTTATATTCTTCTGTATTAAGTTAAAAGCTCTTTGAAACAAAAATGATGCTTACTCAATATTATTCATGTTTTCTTGGAAATTACTACCCCAGTGCCTTGTAACAATTAAGACCATAATACATATTAGACAATTAAAATTTAATTGAGCTATTCATCTCAATCAGCAATTTAGAGCCCATCACAGCCCACATCCACCATTTATCTGTAATCTACCAACTTTATAAACTGAAAACTTAGTTTATATCCTCCACCTCCTTACCATTTGCTTATGTACTCAGCGTTAGGTGCTATCTGCGTATAAGTTGCCAGAAGGGAAGAAAGACTTTGATTATAGTTGTCATTTTTTCTCTTTGTTGGCTTCTACAGGGTTTGTTTTTCACTGAGGCATTCTACCAGCGTCACATACCCAGCTAATGTTTAGACTTATAATTATTCATGTCATTAGCAAATTTATATCACCTCTCGTTAGAATAAGCCAAAATGTTCATACTGAAATAGAGCCACAAAACCAATAAAACATCACATACAATCTACTAAAATAATCTGATAAGAGCAGAGGGGATTGAACTTCAAAGAGAGAAAGATGACTGAAGTGAAGACAATTCTGCCAGGTTATCATGTTGCTTTTAGTAATTTGTTTGAAGACAGTGCTGGCTCTGAAGTTGATGGTGTGGAAAATGAAGTGAGAATTAATCATGGGGGGATGTCGTGGTACTGGGGAGAGTAGAAACCAAGAGGTAATTGGCATTTTTTTTTTCAAAGGCACTTCAGATTAACTCTGCCCACAGGGAGTTCGTAGAATTGTAACCAGAACCTAACAGTAATAGTGACATATCTTTGAAAAGATTTTACCATTCTTGCTATCTGGAACTTGGGAATTGGGTGCTTCCAAACCCTCTAGGAACTATGGCCCTTCAAGGAATAAAGAATCAATTATTTTTTGAGATGCTCATAAAGAGTTTTAGCGATGTAAAGAGGTGACTTTACTAATTCATTTACTCATTCATTCTTGAGATGTGTAATGAGAATCTACTATATACCTGGCTCTCCTCTAGGTGCTGGAGGACACAAAAGTAAACAAAATAAATAAACCTCTCTACTGAAATGAACTTCCCTTCTAATGAAAGGAGACAGAAACACAATAAAGGTCGGGCGCGGTGGCTCACGCCTGTAATCCCAGCACTCTGGGAGGCCGAGGTGGGCGGATCACGAGGTCAGAAGATGGAGACCATCCTGGCTAACACAGTGAAACCCCGTCTCTACTAAAAATACAAAAAATTAGCCGGGTGTGGTGGCACGCACCTGTTGTCCCAGCTACTCAGGAGACCGAGGCAGGAGAATGGTGTGATCCCGGGAGGCGGAGCTTGCAGTGAGCCAAGATCGCGCCACTGCACTCCAGCCTGGGTGACAGAGCAAGACTCCGTCTCAAAAGAAAAAAAGAAAAACACAAAACACAATATAAATAAAATATGCAATATGCTAGATGGCAGATACTACCAAAGATAGCTCTCACAGAGAATACGACATTTAAGCAGATACCTGAAGAAGGTAAAGAGAAAAGCCATTTGCATAACTAAGAGAAGAAAATTGCCCAGGAAGTATTAAGAGTCTAAGGAGGGAATGTGATTGGTTTGTAAAAAGGCAAAAAGGCTATTCTGACTGGAGAAGAATAAGCAAGAAGAGAAATAGGAGATGAGACTAAAGAGATAAGACAAACGTGGATCATACAGGGTTTTACAGGTCACTGTTGGGACACTGGCCTTAGTCTGGCTGATATGAGAAGTAAAGAAAATTTTAAGCAGAGGAATGATATATTTTTAAATGGTTTATATGTTAGCAGAATCACTGTCTGCTTTCCAGTGAAAGGGAAAAACAAGGCTGATTAGAAGGTTACTGCAATAATCTAGGCAAGAAAGGAGGTAGCTTGCACCTGCTTTGAAGTAGGAGAAGCGGTCAGAAGTGGTTGAAATCTGGATTTATTGAGGGGTCTGATGGGTAGGTAGGAAAAAGCATTCATGGATGATTATAAATTTTTAATTTGAACAATTAGTGGTGTCAGTAAATGGATTTTCAAGTTACTGAGATAAGGAACACATGTGGAGATGAAGGTGCAATGAGTTTGAATGTGAGGAAGAAATTAAGTGATATCCCTGTGGCAGGAATGCCTTGGGTTTGTACATGGAACTGCAAATAATTTAGGTTACATAAAATATAGTGCGTTTGAAAGGAGATATCTTTGAAGAGGTAGACTAGGACTATATTCCATAGGCAATGGGGCCATGATGGTACTAAGCAAGGCTCTTGAGTGTCCTTTATAATTTCCTGGACAGCTAAGACTGTTTTTCTTCAATATAAAAGTTCCATATGCGAGTTGTCTGCTCAAACCTCCAAGGTCACACATCAGACTCAAGGTGGATCTTCACATACACTTTTAAAAGACTCTAGGGGCTCAGCCTGCTTTGCATCACTGCCCTTTAAATCACTCTTCCCTGAAGATTGTGGAAAGGAATTGGCACCCCAGCTTTTGACTCCATGATGTTGCTATCAGATAACAAAAGAGGTATCCCACATTTCCATATTAATTACTATGATGAACTAGCCAGGAGGCAAAACAAAACAGAACAAAAACCCACAAAGTCAAGCTAAAGAAATCTTACAAAGCTCTTCTAGGCATGGTCTCTGTTCTTTAGCTTTGACTCTCTCATGAGATAGTTGGAAGTTAAATGTTGAGAATGTTTGCCTCATTTGATATTCACCAATTTCTACATTGACTTGAGATGTCTGGCTACAACTCCATGATCTACTGCCGCTTTTAATATTGATGAAAAATAATGATTCAGTTGAATAAAGTGCTTTCCCAAATAACAGGGACACGTGACAAGAACTAGAAGCTAGTCCCACATACCCCCTGGCTATTTGAAAAAGTTGTGTTTCAGTGTCAAAAGCCCCCAGTTGAGCAAGGCTAGCTGCTCAGCTAATGAGTATAGGGCCCAGATTCAACTCTCCACTTATTATTTTAGAACATAGTAGACTGACTAGATTGATAGGTTGTTTCTTTAATAAATGCACTGAGAGTTGAAGTTTAACAACCAGCATTTGGAAATTTGTGATTTTTAAAAACTCATTCATTCAAGTAGGTGGAATTGTATAAAGCTTGCTGCTTTCAAAAGCAGTAGAATCTGCCAAAATGTAAAGTCAAGGCAATGAAAGGTAATAGTCTTAGAATTGAAGCATCACTATTGTTGGGAGAAAATAATTGTTTACTTTTACTTTTCCTTCTGGTCTATCTCTGCTTTTGACATAATACATGACCTTAGTCCAGGCAGTTCACCTCCCTCCATCTCATCTTTGGAACTACAATAATAGCAACAATTTTCCTTTTAAGGCAGGTTAGGAAGAACAGCTGCTTGTGATAAAGAACACTCAGTTACTGAAGCACTGCTTACACAAATATTTTTATGAATATTTTTTTGAGAAACACTCTGAATTATAAGCATTCAGATTTGGCCTTGAAGGAACCTCTTAAGCTGCCTGTAGTTCAGGAGCTGAATCTGACTTAACCACATCATCTAGGTTTTTTTTGTTTGTTCACTTTTGTTGTTTTAGTTGCAGCAAATAATCATGTGTGTGAGTAATCATGCTCACTGAAAGAAAGAGGACAGTACTGAGTCTCAGAGGGGTTCTAGATTTAACCTATTCGCAAACCATTCCTTTTAAAAATCTTTAATAATGGAGACATTTAATGTGATCCGCTGTTTTTTTCAGTAGAGCACTGTCCACATCTCCTCTCATTATTATGTTTTTCATGTAATAATAGCTGCTAAACGAAATAGCAATAACTAAAGTTTCATGAGCAATCACTACGGACTAGTGCTTTACATGTACTGAATCCTCACAGCACTTGGACTATTTTCCCATTGTAGAGCTGAGGAAACTGAGGCACAAAGAGATGAAATAACTTGCCCCAAATCACATAGAAAGTAAAGGGAGAGAATGGGAGGGATACATAAAAAATTGCTTGCCCTTTCCTCTCTCTCATTCATTTCAACAAAAATATTAATTTTGTGGAATATGTTAATTGTTAATTCATCCATCCATCTATTCATTTGTCTGTGCTTTTTTGGCCAATATCTTTTGAGCTTGACCATATGACAGGTATTCTGCTAAGCACTTTGCAGACTTTATTTCATTGAATCTTCACCACAATTCTGTTAAGAATCCTCCATTTGTCTTCACTTTATGAACACAGAAATAGGCTTAGCAAGGTCAGATAAAGTATGCAAGGTCATAAAGATATAAGCTTGTGTCATATGACTGTTATAATTTGCTGGGAAACAGTGCTTTTCTTTACGAGAGTACTGTCAAATTTGTTACATTGGATTAAAAACGCAAAGGTTGCAAACTTCTTATGGGATAGAATCATGTTATATACTCCTGTAACATTTTGTATGTGCCTTCAGTAGATGTTTAGTAAAACTTGCTAATTGAATTAAATAGTAATTAAGGACAACAATTTTATTAAATATCTAACAATTTCCTTAACATCTAGGATGGTTAATGTAATTTATCACTCAAACCATGACACTTCTGAAAGTGGAATGGTGTTCCTATTCACAGAGGGCACTGGCTTAAACTAGAACTATTGTGAGCTGACCCAGATGTGTAGTTACCCTATGAATATCCCATAAGTAATTTGTAGATGAGTTTTCAGAGCCTGAACATTTTATATAGAAAGAAATAGTAGAAAAATGTTATTTCAACACTTCTTTTCTCAACAGCACAAAATCTTCCACTTTTTTTCTTGGCAGAAGCAGAAATGGAGTGTATTAAGCTGTTCATAGATACTTCTTGCATTTTATAACATAACATTTAGTAAAAGCTAGCATATGTACCAGCCAAATAATTTCTAGATTTAAACTAAAAAGTGAATAAAAATGTGCACCCTGCCTGACGTTTCTAAAATATCAAGCATTTGATAAATGGATATTACCTTTATATAAACCATTTCAATTTTTAGCCTTCATTTTTACATCACACACAACACACACACACACATACACAATTATCGGCTAGGGAATGATAAATTTGAGTGTGCAAATGGAGTGACTATGAATTAAACCTGAAATAATTTATAAACTGCAACACTTAATTCAAGTGTGTGTGTATATATATACACACACACTATGTATGTATATACATATATATACATATATACGTATATATGTATATATACATATATGCATATATACGTGTGTGTGTGTGTGTGTGTGTGTGTGTATATATATATATATTTAGAGAGGGAGAGAGAGAGAGAGAGAGAGAGAAATAGGGCAAAACCAGTTACCCTGCATATACAGCATCACCTTTCATTTTGAATTACAAAAAGCAAGAGATTGTACACAGCTTTCCCTATGCATCAGTTATGCCAAACTAATTTTATGTCATGTCAAAAAGTGATCTAATTGTGGCTTAACAGCAACTAATGACTGGTAAGGGCTCCATTCAATAACAAATATTCTTAGTATTGTTGCTTTAGAAATTACTTCAGGCATAGCTTATTAGAGAAATAGTCCCTGACTAGGTAAACACTAAAAGCTCAATCATTATGTGATGAAACAGTTATTTTCATGTAGCTGTGGGAAAATCCGGTAAATCTAAAAGATCTGGGCAGTGATATGTGGGGACAGGCAAACTGAGTAGTGCATTTAAGCTACATAATTTGAATAGTGTCCATTGGGAACCTGAAAAGACTGCAAAGCTGCAAATTAGGCATATAGCTGGTGTGAGCAAGAGTGATGCTCCTGTTTTTACTTTGTGTTTAATAGTTGAGTTGCATTTGTAAAAATTTATGAAGTCCTTCTGTGAGTGTTCAGTTAGAATTTGTGGACAGAATGCTCTTATCTCTTATAGGTGTCGCGCTACTGACCCTACAAACATACCCACTACCTACATATGTACACACATGCTCCTTGTGTGTCTTGGTAATGTTTCTCCATTAATATTACATCTTAGCAATAATTCCAGAAATAGAAAATATTTAAATGTGGGTACATTATTTATCGCCAATTTTAATTTTACCCATGTCTTCCTGTCTTGATAGAGCACACAGATAAACATCCGGAGGCTTGTGGGGATCAATGACAATGTAATGGATACAAAAGGTTTTACGCTTTAAATTCTGCTCCTATAAAACAATGGCATTTTCTTCAGGAAAAGTTGTGATAGAATGAGTGAAGAATACCCCTTTTGCAGAACTGGTCTGCAAATGCAAATATTCAAGAGTGTTCTCCAAAAGCATTTGATATTACACAGCTACTCCACAGACAGGTCCTGATTCAAATGCTTAACACCTGAGGTGAAAACTTGCCTTCTGAATTCAAAGTCTGATCCAGGTATTTTCATTCCAAGTTTGCAGAAAAATCATTTCCAAAAATCTCATTTGAAAAGAATATTGGTAACTACGCCATGAAAATACAAAACTTCCTTTATAAAACAGCTGTCTAGGAGATTTACCTTACTCATGATATTTTCCTCAAGTTCAGACTGGATTAAATATACCCAGTAGACTGTAGGATGAGAAAATGAGCTGAGGTAGTTCATCGTTAATTTTTAAAAAAAGGAAAAAAAAAAAAAAAGACTATCCCTTTGCCCAAAGCAAACCTTCTACCCACTCTGACAACAACTCCTCTACATGTTGTATAAGCCACATACTTTATTTCACAAAAAGACAATTGAATCTGTGGGCTTTAGTATTCATTGAATGTCCTCAGTGAAGTGAAGAGGTTGAACGTAGGTGGTTATCTCTAATTTCATTTCTTTAAGTTGTGGAGCAAATATTAATAAATAATTTTGTGTACTAATTTTCATTACAGTCTTTGTTTTGCTTACCCACTCACACTTCTCATGTGCAAACCTCTTAAAATTAACACTTAGACCTTACTTAGCATTTAATACCTTACTTCGAATATGGCATGAGTTTTCTATTGCTGCTGTATTGTTATAACACACTTAATGGTTTAAAACAGTACAAATTTATTATTGTATAGTTCTGTACATTAGAGGTCCAACATGGGGTCTCACTGAGCTAAAATCAAGGTGTAGACTGAGCTGCATTTCTCCTAGTCTAGAGACTCTGGGAGAAAATTTGAAAATCCACATCCTCACCCTTTCCAGCTCCCTGAGTCTGCCTTCATCCCTTGGCTCATGATCCCTCTTCCGTATCTTCAAATCCAGCAATATCTGGTTGATTTTTCACATTGTATCACTCTGACTTTGCTTCTGTCATTTCATTTCTTTCTCTGACTCTCTCTTGCACTTTTATTTATTTTCTTTATGAGACGGAGTTTCACTCTTGTAACCTTGGCTGGAGTGCAATGGTGTGATCTCGGCTCACTGCAATCTCCACTTCCCAGGTTCAAGCGATTCTGTCTCAGCCTCCTGAGTAGCTGGGATTAAAGCTGCGTGCCACCACACACAGCTAATTTTTGTATTTTTAGTAGAGACAGGGTTTCACCATGTTGGCCAGGCTGGTCTCAAACTCCTGACTTCAGGTGATCTGCCTTCCTCAGCCTCCCAAAGTGCTGGGATTACAGGCGTGAGCCACCACGCCTGGCCTTTTTTGCACTTTCAAACACCCTTGTGATAATATTGGGCCCACTTGATAATCTAGGAAGGATAATCTTCTTATTTTAACGTTAGCTGATGATCAACCGTAACTCCATCTGCAGCCTTACTTCCTCTTTGCCATGTAAAGTAATATATTCACAGGTTCTGGGCATTAGGATGTTAACATCTTTGCAAGACCACAATTCTCACATGCTGCATATCCTTACAACTATAATCTCAGAATTTCTGTAAGAAAATCAGAGGACTCTAAATCTGCTTTCCCCATTGTCGAGCTCTCAGGTTGTGTTACGTCCACGATGCTAGATGTAAGTTCTTTTGCTCCCAGGTCTGTTTCTTTACATCTATATCACAATCATTCATAATCCTCATTGCCTGGATCACTGCAGAATATTGATATAATGTCTTTTCATAATTATAAGCTATGTACCAATTACTCTTATTAAAGGAAAGGCCCTTCCATAAATATTCTCATTTATTGCACCAAAGATTTGAAATAGCTGTTGTTATTGCTCCTATTTTGCTATTTTTAGGTGAGAAAACTAATGCTCAGAGAAGCTAAGGACAGTAATAACTTGGCACTGAAACTCAAACCCAGGTGCCCTGCCTGCACACCCGTGTTGTCTGCCATATTCCTCACCATTAATAGCTCCTTGTAGGGTAGGCTGCTGAGCTCTCATATATTTTTCTCCAGTACAGAATCCCTGCAGTTCATGAAGGATTATCATTATTTCTCATCCACATGCCTCAAAATCTGAGTTTCTCCTGCTGTTGGTAATTCTTTCACTACTGCTAAAGCCCCTATAAGCCTGTCTTTCCACCCACGCCTGTGCCCACTTTTGTAGGTAAGCAGGCTTATTCTGACTGCAGCCATGATCTTTTTCTCTTCCAATGGGAGGTAGGGAGAATGGGAAGGAAGGAGGGGAGGCAGGCCCTATTAGAGCTGTGGAAAGCTTTACTGCCCTTCTCTCAGTGATACCTGCTGTTTTGCTTTTGTTGGAAATCACCACCAGCCTGACAATATCAACCTGCAATCTTCAGTCACAATCAGATCACACTCTTATTTCCTGGGATTCTGAGAGGGAGTGAGGCTTCAGAAAGTTATAAATATAACACTTCGCAAACTGAACTGAATGCCCAGGGAGAAACCCCCTGCAATTAGCAACAGGACTTTGTGATGATTAGATACAATGCTTTCAAAGAGTTCAGAACATGTGTTATCAGAGATTTATGACATACCTCCTACCCTTGCTGAAATTCCTCCCATAGCACAAAAGACATTAGATACAAGTTTGATCCTTCTTAGTGAACTCACTTTAAAATTACATTTGTAAAGTATTTTTAAAGTTTCAGATTTCTCTTAAATGATTTTATTCAATTCTCACAACATTCTATAAAGTAGCCAAGACAATTGCAAGCATCCCCTTTTCATAGATGAAGATGTGTAGGCCCATCTTTATATAGCTTCTGAGTAGCAGAGCCAAGAATAGAATCCAAGCTCCAGGTTTCCAATTCAATTCTTACTTCCCTAGGCCATATTGTTCTCATCACTAACTACTCTTTTTCTCTTACTACCTTTCCCAACTCACTGGAAGGGGCTTGAAAGGATTGAAGTGTCAATAGACTCAAGATCAGAGAGCTGCCTTTTAAAATAAAGCTTTAGTGACAACATAGTTACCCAAAGTATATTTGCATTAGTTCAGATGATTCTCAATAAAAATTATTCTTCCTTTTCCAATTGCTGGTGTATCAATAAATATGTATTGTCTGTAAACTTTGTTAACAGCCCTGTGCTAAGGGCTAGGAGAGACTGCAAAAGAGAAAAGGCATGGTTACTGTTGTCACAGGGTTTACACTGAGAAGGCAGAAAAAGTGGAATCTATAGAATTGTAGAGAACCACTATTTTTTTTTTAAAAAAGAAATGCATTCTGATTATGAGAGCAATGGTAGTTCAAAGAATGGAATGAGTAGCAATGGGACCTGAACTGAGCTTGAAGAACTAAAGTAAGGGGAAAGTAGGAAAGTAGGAAAACAAGTTTTAGTTTTTTTTTTGCTTTAAGTTGAGGAACACCTTTAACAAAGATCTGAATGAGGAAATATGTACAAGCAACTGTCAGGAGGTTCCGGCAGCTTTCAGATTCTGAGAAACCGGATCCTTATATCCATCTTCCCAACTTTTGATGGATGACAAGGCCTCAACCTACACCCCTGGAAAAATTTGCCACTGTTGCCAGTAGGTGGAGTCTGCAATCCCTCAGTTTTGAATGTTAGTTCAAATGACCAGACTGCTTCTTCACTAGTGCTACCTAGAATACTTAAGCCTCTCTCCTGTCTCTATCCATACACATTATTGGAGGGAATAAAATGGCTTTACATATAATGCAGTGGCGTACCACTTTGCCAGAGAACATAAATGTGAATCTTAAGTAAAATGTTTGTTATACCTACATTATTACATAAAAATTCTGGGTACCGTCATACTTTAGTAGATTTATCATGTTTGTCTCTTTTTTTTCTTTTTCCGAACACATGAGAAGATTATTCATTATCTTTTTCTTGAAATCGGACAGGGTCATTCTGGCCAATGTGTTATAGGTAGAATTGGCATGAGTGACAATTCTCACTTTCAGATAAGAGCACTTATTAATAATTACTCCCACAAGACCCTCAGATATTCTTCTTCATCCGTGACCCAATACTGGCAAAATTCAGCCTAACTCCTAGAATGAGGATGATATGAAGCTGAGCATTCTACCTCTGTGTTGTTGACAGTGTGAATGAGAAATTAACGTTTTTTGCTTAAACCACTAAAATGTTGCAGTTGGCTTATTTTGCAGCATAACCTAGCCAGTTCTGAATGATACCCCAGTTATACATTTCTTTGAACAAATAGGTGGAATAGATTCAATTTACTTCAACCCAATGTATGGTTCTCACCAACCCCTCCTGTTTTCCTTAAGGTTCTCAACTTGCATGTTCATTCTAGTTATGATGAGTATGCATTGTTTCCAGGCCCCTCTACAACTTGGAAGCTGTTTTGATAAATAATTCTTGTGGAGAAGAGAATTATGTTGTCAAAGAAATCAGGAAGCTGGAAAGCTGGGCCTAGAACCAGAGAGTCTGGACACACATACCTCTGTGGATCCCCTAAGTGACTGTACATTGTCCTATATTTCTAGATCAAAGGAAGTGATTTCTCCTTCCACTTTTAGGAATGACTCGGTAATTTCTACCCCTGCCCCCACCCCCAACCTCCTGTTTCCCCCAGTAAATTATAAAACCTTATCTTGTTAGAATATTCCTTAGAGGAAGTTAAGATACAAATCTAACTTTTCTAAATGGGCCAATATATGTAGGCTGGAGAAGGGAATACGTTAAACTTTTTACATTTGTTCTTCCTGCTTCTTCAAGGCACACTTCTTTTCTCTTTCCCTTAAAGTTCTAGCTGCTTCTGCTCGTTAGATGCCATTTTCATTATTAGAGCACACTTTGTTGCCATAGCAATTCTTCCCCACTCTCACATTTTATTGCACTTATAGTTGCCACAGGCAAAAGAGAAGGGATGGGGGGTGGGAGGAAGCATGATTTTATTTTCTCTCAAGTAGCCAGGTTTTCTTCTAATCTGAGAACATTTTAACTCCACCCAAAAGGGAGCAGTCTTACAACCAGAAATAGCATCAGAGGTGTATTGCATGGAAAGACAGATTGCTGCTGTCTAGGCTGTGACTAGTACAGCGCAAGGTGCTTTCCTGGATCTGGGTGGATTGATATCATTTATGTATTAATATTTCTGTAATTACATATTCTGTGTTAACTTGTAGGCTTTCACATTTATATTAACAGAAAAAAATACGAAGTAGGACTTCTATCATTGATAAAGGTCAAAGAAGAAGCAGAAATGGAAAGATTCTACCAAAGTGCCTTCCAAGGGTCACCAAGGACAGAGCCTCATGGTAACCATGAACCCCAAGGCTGTAATAATAATAATACTTCACGTGGGCATAGTACCTTGGCGCTTTTAATGTACTTTTACATGTGTTGCCTAATTTTTAATTTGTAGTTGTTAAACGGTACACCCTCTTTGAAGGATTCTCCATTGACTATAATTCATCCTGTCTTCATCTGTTTTGTCAGTTTTTTGATGAATATTTTTTTTTGTCTCCTACTGACTTAATATTGAACAGACAGCATCTTAAACTATCTAATTCTGCTACTATTTCACATGCATCAGCTTTATCCTACCAGACAGAACTTGCTATATGGGAATCCATTTCTTTTCTTTTTTTTTTTTTTTAGTTTTTAAATTTTTTTTGGAGGCGGAGTCTTATTCTGTTGCCCAGGCTGGAGTGCAGTGGTGCGATCTTGGATCACCACAACCTCTGCCTCCTGGGTTCAAGTGATTCTCCTGCCTCAGCCTCCCGAGTAGCTGGGACTACAGGCGCATGCCACCATGCCCTACTAATTGTTGTATTTTTAGTAGAGACGGGGTTTCACTGTGTTGGCCAGGCTGGTCTCGAACTCCTGACCTCATGATCCGCCCACCTCGGCCTCCCAAAGTGTTGGGATTACAGACCTGAGCCGCTGCACCTGGCCAGAAATCCATTTCTTAGATAACTTTCGTGACACATGTGGGAATCACCTTAATGAGAGGCATTCTGTAAATTTTGCAGGCTGATTGAGATTCATATTTTCAGCCATTATTGTGACTATACATTATATACTTAGAAATTCAAAATTACCTATTACAAGCCAATGACTGGTTACATGTAAATTAAAAAGTACAATTAAGTTTTTCTCTCTCAGCATGATATTAAACATAATCAAATTTTATAAATACTTCTTAAATATTTTTGCAGGAGGAAAAATCTGCTACTTTCAACTGTAATTTTGAAATGTTCAAATATGTATAGACAAGCTGCTGTATTTTATATAAATGAATGTATTCATAGAACAAACTTTAAATTTCAGAAAACAACACAGATTGCAGGAGTTTAAATTTCTGTTCATATTCCAATAGAAATGAGTAATGTGACCATTTTGGGAATAGTGGCAAATTATTGAGGAGGAGTGCGTTTCTACACTTGCCTAAGATTGCTATTTTGTGGAGAAGCATTTGTGGTCTGGTGACTCAAGACTGGGAGAAGTAGGTAGCTACCAATTCTCCATTCTAAATTCGGCTTTCTTTGCTCCATCTGTCCTGGACTCATGTTGAGATCTTGTCTAGGTAACACTACCCTCTACTGGTGGAAGCAGAATTCCTCCTCAGTTCTTTAATCCAACAGCAATGTGTTGTAGAATTTAGACTATTAGAGACTTTGGGGATTATTTTACAGGTGAGGAAACTGAGGCCCACAAAGCACAACAGTCAGGGATATGACTTGATAATTTATGTCAGAAATCAGTAAAAGAACTCTGCTTTTCTTACTCTTAGTTGGCTATTTTTTTCCCCAAAAAATTACGGAGTAGAACTGAAGTTCCAAAAACAACATAAACTCTAAATGTAATACCTGAAGCTATAGGAACGTTTGTTAAGAACTAAACATTTATTTCTGCAAGAATTATTTGTGCTATTTAAATCTAGGTCAGGTGAATTACTCAAGATTTATCATAGACCTTTGCATTATCTTTAAAACTAGTCAAATACACTGCTTTTTCTTCTTTTTGAAATGTTTTGCCATTTGTTGCTTTAGCAAGACCGTGCCTTCAAATGGAATTTTGTCCTATGAGTCTTTGGGAATTTAGTAGATGAGCACATTTTAAGGACAGGGTTTTTCCAGAGGACCTTAGTTGGTATCCTTTCTTCTTGCACATTTTCATGATGTCATTATGTGTTTAGCTCTATCAACATAGGGTTGGCCATATGAATAGATAGAGAAGGCAGCCATTTACATGAGAAAAGGGAAATTTGAGCAATAAAAATACCACATGACCTAAATTACAGTAACTTTGTACATCTTCTTAATTCAATATCTATCAATCTCCCCTCTCTAGCACACAGTTAAGGAATCTAGATGTAGGAAATAAAGATAACAAAAATTTGTAGCCCTAGTGCCCTCAATTAATGCCTATATTCTCTTATTTTACATAAATCCTGTAAAATTGGTTCAAAATATATGAAAACAGCAAATTATGGAGTAGGAATACATGTTAGTGGTAGAAGATCTGTTTCAGGAATGTGCACACATTCCAGTATAACACAATAGTTGATTGCCTGACAGAAAAGAGGAGACAAAAGGAATAGGTGCAACTGAAAGTATTGTAGTCCATGCTTCTTTGGAAGGGATCAAAATTCATACATATTTTAGGAAAGTCTAATAGTTTGTTTTATAGTAATGACCTAAAATAGTTGAAAAATGGTTAGTGTCCCATTTAACTGAACTTACAGTGAAAGACAGCTCCATATTTTTTCTCTTATTTGTATTTCTATTCAAAAATAACTAAAATTAATAGGAACTTTACTAATTTATCCTCAGCTATTCAGAAAATTCAACTATGCAGAAGAAGCTATAAACTTAAGAGAAGTTGTTAGTTCTTTGGGATAGTCATAGTCAAGTGGACAATTGCTTTATACAAGCCATTCAACAAAAATATATTGAGTGCCTAGTCTACTATGTGCCAGGCAATGTTCTAGTCCCTAGAGAAGCTGTAGGTATCAAAATAGATTCACATCCTGGTTCTTCTTGATTTTAAATTTTAGTAGAGGAAGGCAAACGATAAACAATATAAATACATCAATATATACAGAATGTGAGATGGTAAAAAATTCGTGGAGAGAATATAAAATAGGAAATAGGGATATCAAGTGCCAGTGAGGGTAAAAAGAAGTCGAAACTGTAAACAGGTTAATGAGGAGAGGTCTCCCCTAGAAGTGGTATGAGGAGCAAGACCCTAAAGGAAGTGAGGAGGCAAGCCATGCAGGTGTCTGAAGAAAGACTTTATCATAACTTACACCTTTACATTGTCATTAAATGCAATCTTTCAGTAATCTCAATTTTAGTCACTCTACATTTGACCACTATTGCTTGTATTTGCAGTTCTCTCTTTGTGCTTCTTGACTCCAATAGTCCTTGAACCTGATGTTGATTATACATTGATCCCACATTCTTTTCACTGACTTCCAAGCCTTTTTAGGTCCTCACCTCCCTTTAAATTCCATAATGAATCATTATCACCACTCCCTAACATTAACACTCCATTGTCTCTTCTTGACTTTTATATTTAGTAAAACCTTAACTCCAGAGAAATCCGTATCATCTTGTACTTTGTGCCTATAGCCTATCTCTTTAAATTAAGAACCACTAACCTCGACTGGGCCCATGATGTTGCCCAGAAGTCATACTTTCATGTTCTAGTCCATTTCCTCTTCCACAGAACCAAATGAATATTCCATTCTCTTTTCCATCTCATTTTAACTCCAATTCACTGTCATTTTTATGCCATTCTTCCAACTTCACCAAGAAAATAATATAAATTAGAAGAAAAGTTTGACAAGCCCCCACCATCACACTCAATAGCTACTAGCATCACTTCAGCCTCCTATTCTATTATGATGGATGACATGTTTGTGCTGCCATCTAACACCAACCCCTCCTTTGCCCCATCTTGTCAGATTTTGCCAATCCAAAGGCACTGCAGCAACCCTCTCCAGCAATCTTTCTCCTGTATTGTCATTTTTTTTTCTCTCTCTCTACTGAATCCTCTTTATCATCTTGCAAACAAACCTGCTCTTGAGCCTAGGTCTCCACCAGCTCGTTTGCTATGTCGCAAAACTCCTCAAAAGAGTTGCTATACTTATTGCATCTGATTTCTCTTATTCCCATTCTTTAAAACAAACAAACAAAAAAAAACTTTAATTAGACTTCCACTCTTACTAGCTTCCTAAAACAGCTTTTTCAAGGTCACCAACAATCTTTATTTTGCTAAATCCAGTGATTAGCTCCCAGTCTTCATCTAGGTGGACTTCTGTATACAGCTTGATTCAGTTTGCATTGTCTATTAATTCTTCCTTTTATTGCCTGTCATCTGGTAGGTCCTAAAGGGACATTAACGGAAATTCACTGAGGTGAGAGCCCTGAATCTGTGGAGTATTATAGTAAAAATTACATTCATATAGTACTTTAATATTCAAATAATTTATATATTATATACTTTAATCTTTACAACAATCACAGGTGAAAACTATGTTTAGATGAACTACCTTAAGAAAAGAAAGGAGACAAAGGTATAATTAGATACACGTATGTAGCTTCTTAGAAGCAGAAGCATGTCTATGCTGGACAGAGCATACTGGATAATGGGGGTTGAGTAGAGGTGTGTAGTACAGGGTGCTAGAGAGGGAATCTTGCCAAAGAGAGAAGAGGACATGAAAAAAAAAGTTAATTTTGTCCTATTTGTCATTTTACTTCCAGACTGTTTTAAAGTATAAGACATGCTAATATGAAAAGTTTAAAGTAATAGGGAAGAATCTTTGAGGTTGATTATAGGAATGAAAATAAAAAGCTGTTGAACTCTGCCCTTACTCCTAATGAGAAATCACCAAATAGGCTCTAAATTCCACCTATTGCTCCCTCTTTGCAAATACCCATTGATTAAAAAAAAAAAAAAGGTATGAGGACATTAGAGTTTAGTGCCCAACATTTTTTACCCTGAATCTCTAATATTGCAAGAGGATCTGGAAGTCACTAGAGTTCTTTGCAGAGACTGACTTAAGAAGGTTGCCACTATCAATATTTCTAGAGTTAGTCTTTGGGCACAAGGAAATCTAGGTAATAATTATGGGAATATAAATAGTTGCCTGGTTACTATCCCCAGTCCCTGTCTCACACACACTTACCCCAGCCCCCTGCCAAATCAAATTCATAAACAGATGATCTATAGCTCTTGTATGGCAACAGTTGCCATTTGTTGGAGCTAGTAAAACATTCCCAGAGCATCCTTCCATGAAGATTTAACTTTTGTCTTTCTTTGATCTGAAGCTGATAGAGGACAACACCTAGACAAATTAATAATAAAGAGATCCCATTACTGTCATTTACTTCCACACATATAAGGATAAAAAGACCATCCTCACATGAAATTGTAATGCTGATTACTTTTATCTGCTCACTTTAAATCCAATCACTTATCACATTTCATCAAATACATGGATGATTCCAGTTTCATAAATTAAGACAACACAATTCAGTGTCTTGACACTGCATTTGCTATCAATTATGGTAGCCATAATCTCAAGTATTAAAGGAGAATTGGTGTGTCTAACAAAATACTGCTCAAGGAACTGTGCTGCTTTTACATAGTGTTTTAATGTTTTAAATTTATTTTATACTATACACCTAAATGAATTCTAAAAGAATCAATGATGTAGGTGTTGTGCCCACTCTGGCCTCTGCCTCTTGCTCATTTTATTTTATTTTAATTTTTTTGAGATGGCGTCTCATTCTGTCACCCAGGAATGCAGTGGCACAATCTTGGCTCACTGCAACCTCCGCCTTTTGGGTTGAAGCAATTTGCCTGCTTCAGCCTCCTGAGCAGCTTGGATTATAGATGCCCACCACCAAGCCCAGCAAATTTTTGTATTTTTAGTAGATACGGGGTTTCACCACGTTGGCCAGGTGTGAGCCACCATGCCCAGCCGATTGCACACTATTTTAAATCTTAGTTTATCAACCTTTATATGATCTGCAATTCTGATATGTCCTCAGTCTAGTTTTGTTTTGTGTTCAAAGACTTGTTTAAATAGAGATATACAACCCATCAGAGGTATTGGTGTCTAAACTCAGGAGCGCCTTTAAGCTAGTTTCTTCTCTGAGCCTGGGTTTCCTCATATATAAGATAATGATAACAGCTACCTCCATGGAATATTGTGGGAACTCAATAAGATAATGTGAGCCAGAGCGATTGCACCCATATTGGGGGAACCCGGCCCCAATATTTCAACGTAGGTTCTTTCTATTTTCCATAAGTGTCGGCTGGCTGAGAAATAAAGAGTGACAGTACAAAGAGAGGAATTTTACAGCTGGGCCACCGGGGGTGACATCACATATCGGTAGGACCATGATGCGCTCCTGAGTCTCAGACCAGCAAGTTTTTTTTAAGGGTTTCAAAAGGGGAGGGGGTGTAAGAACAGAGAGTAGGTACAAAGATCACACGCTTCAAAGAGCAAAAAGCAGAACCACTAATAAGGGTCTAACAAAGATCTCATGCTTCTGAGGGAACAAGACAAAGGACAAAAGCAGAACTACTGATAAGGGTTCAACAAAGATCACAGGGCAAAGGGCAAAAGCAGAACCACTGATAAGGGTCTGTGTTCAGCAGTGCACGTATTGTCTTGATAAACATCTTAAAAGGAAACAGGGTTCAAGAGCAGAGAACTGGTCTGACTGCAAATGTACCAGGGCGGAGTTTTTCCAACCCTAGTAAGCCTGAGGGTTCTGCAGGAGACCAGGGCATATCTCAGTCCTTATCTCAACTGCACAAGACAGACATTCCCAGAGGGGCCGTTTACAGACCTCCCCCCAGGAACGCATTCCTTTCCCAGGGTATTAATATTAATATTCCTTGCTAGGAAAAGAATTTAACAATATCTTTCCTACTTGCACGTCTGTTTATAGGCTCTCTGAAAGAAGAAAAATGTGGCTCTTTTTGTCTGACCCTGCAGGCTGTCAGACCTTATGGTTGTCTTCCCTTGTTCCATAAAAATCCCTGTCATTCTGTTCTTTTTCAAGGTGCACTGATTTCATATTGTTCAAACACACATGTTTTACAATCAGTTTCTACAGTTAACACAATTATCACAGTGGTCCTGAGGCGACGTACATCCTCAGTTTACGAAGATAACAGGATTAAGAGATTAAAGACAGGCATAAGAAATTATAAAAGTATTATTTGGGAACTGATAAATGTCCATATTAAAATGAAATCTTCACAATTTATGTTCTTCTGCTGTGGCTCCAGCTGGTCAGTCCGTTCGGGGTCCCTGACTTCCCGTAACACACCTTGTCCTCCCTTTCCCTTGCCTCGGGATACCCCAGAAGTGCCCATGTAAGAATCAAGAATGTGTTTTACTCACAGAAGAATCTTTCCTTATGTTTTCTTTTATACTCCCCTTTTTCCACAGAAATCATCGTAATAGAAATGGAAATAATACAAGACAACCTACAATCTCCTTACTCACAACATATACTTATTCGTTCAATATATTTTGATAAAGCATCTGTTATGTGCCAGGCATTGTTATAGGTTTTAGAACTATAGCAGTAAATGAAACAGACAAGAATTCTAGCCCTCAAATAACTTAAATATGAATAGCTTTTATATTTTTTGTTTCTTTCAATTCTCCTCTATATACAGAAAATAATGTATACATGCAGTAACAGTATTCATGCTTTCTATTCTGCTTCTTTCATTTAATATTGGATTTTACAGTGTCCACATTGTTAAACTTTATAAATTTATATGTCATATAATATATCATATATGTTATAATTATAAATTTTATGTCAATATAATATTTCATACACAGTAATTTATTCATTTCTCTTATATTGGAAATTTAGTCCCAGCCCCACACCCTGCTGTGATGAATATCCCTTTGTGTTTACATTTTTTTCCTCCTGATTTCCTTTGTATAAATACATCAAGGTGGGATAATTGGTTCAAATTATAACAATATGATATTGATTGAATCATTTAAGTACAAGTTAAGAAAAAAAGTCCAACTCATTCAATTAGCAGGTTTTCTGTACACATTTTTAATGGTGGCTTCTGCCAGCTCTAACTTTACTATGTCCTTATGACTCATAATTTCAGAGAAAGAGACAGAAGAGAGTGAGAGGGAGAGAAAAAAACACACCCTTGAGCCAATCAGTGTGGATCATGTGCATATACAGGGAACGGGAGGGTCAACTCTATCCAAGTAACATGGACTGAACAAAATTTTTCTGGGTTAATTCTCCAAAGAGATGATGGACTCACCAAAATGTATACAGTTCCATTATAAATATTTATATAAATGTTTACAAAAGTTGGTAATTATTTAATTTTATTTATTTTTTTTGAGACGGTCTGTCTGTGTCACCCAGGCTGGAGTGCAGTGTTGCAATCTTGGCTCACTGCAACCTCTGCCTCCCAGGTTCAAGCTATTCTCCTGCCTCAGCCTTCCAAGGAGCTGGGACTACAGGTGTCTGCTACCATGCCCAGCTAATTTTTGTATTTTTGGTAGAGACGGGTTTCACTATGTTGGCCAGGCTGGTTTTGAACTCCAGACCTTGTGATCTGCCTGTCTCAGCCTCCCAACATGCTGGGATACAGGTGTGAGCGACCACTCCCAGCCAATAATTATTTATTAAACACGTATTGTTTGCTCTGAAAAATATAAAGCAAAGGGAAACTTGCCCTGAATCTTCAGTGGTCCATGATTCAGTCTGAAAGTTGTACATGTACATTCTTGCCCTAGAAGGAATATCTCTTAAGAGAATCTGAGGTTTAAAATTACAAAGTAACGTGAGTAGACCACATAGGTGAAATACAATGGAGCTTGTTCTAGTACTGAGTGTTATGGCACTTTGCATTTGATCTCATTCTAGACCTGAAGTCTTCTTCACACACAAAGCAATGAGGAAAGGATAGGAGATGATAAATAATTTAGTACTCAAATTTGTGAAACATACATAGACTGTTATAGGAATTCAAACTATATTCAGTTACAACAGGCAGGAACACAGAGACAAATTTTTGCCACAAGTCTCTTGAAAACAAAAATGATGGGATTTCTAAAGTAGAGGGTGTGTGACAAAAGATAATCAGGATTGGCAGAGTGGGTCCAGGTTGGGCAAAGGCCACAAATATGAAGTGCATGAATTTGAACGTGATGTTCTCAGTGGTGGCAGGTCATTGTCATTTCTTCAACAGGAGGATGGTACAAAGAAAACGGTATTATATAATCAGCAAAAAGCAATATTGTCTTGCTCTAGGGAAGCTGAGGGACCTGGAAACAGATTTTCGTTTTACTGAGCTTTTACAGTTGTTATTAAACCCCAAAACTTTCTGTTTCTCAGAGCATGAAGAATATTAAGAAAACTAAAGCAGGATCAAGCCCAATGCACTGATGAAGAATATCCTAAATGAAACATGCTATGTCATCTCAACACGTTTGACCCTCACATGACAAAAAATCAGCACTGATGATCCCCAGGAAGAGGGGTGGCAGCACTTTATGATAGGAAAGATTCTTTCTGCTCCCAGACTTTCCTAATGCAGCCCTCCATTCCAGGTAATTAGATTTCTAATCATTAAATGAGGCAGCATTAACAATCCCTTGACATTTCAGCCCAAAGACCGGAGTACAGATGAGAAGATTTTACTTTTTTGCATATCTTTTCCTTCTCTTTAAATTGAAGGTTATTAAAACTGACCCACTGGACAGGCCTAAGAATGCATCTAGTTCTCCTTGGAGGACTTGGGTGTGGTAGTAATTAGACACCATTCAGGCTATTGGTCTCCAGTTGGTAGACTGAAAAAATAGACTCAAACAAACTTAAAAGGTTTTGAGGACAGGACTTCTTCACTTTATATTTGCTTTCCTTCAACCTAACTATGGGATACTGCCTGTACTGGTGTATGTGCTCAATAAGCATTTGAATAGTAAATGAATGAACCACATATAACAGTTGCTTATTAAACATTTGGTAATTGCCTTTTTACCGGTTTACAAGTTTTCTGTCTCTGAATGTTCGTGACTAGAAGTCAGTAAGACAGAACAGTGGCTTTTCCCTCCACAGTAAGAAGAGCTGTGGAAAAGAAGAGGAAGAGAGAGATGAAAGAAGTGTTAACCTCACTGTAGAGAAATGTGCCAAATGGACCTTTGTTATCCTTAGTTATTGAAAAGCCTGCTGTCAATTGTAATAATAGTTTTCAAAGCTGTAAACAGAATAAAGAGATAAGTTGAAGATGCCATTGTTTGGTCAGTTGTCCCATTTTTAAAGCTTAGCATAGTAGCTAGCACATAGGAGACATTCATGCATATTTGTAAAATGAATGAAATATGGTCCCTTCCTTCAGAAATTTTATAGCAAGGGAGACAAAATGCCAGGGAATTGTGAAAACTTAGAAATCTTATATAGCTTGCTACTCAATTAATGGTCAACTCATCCACAGTTAATTAGCAATGAATTTATCTACTGAGCCATTTCCCAGAATAGATGCTTCTGTGTCAAAAGGAAATCCCGAGAAAATCAGAAGATCAAATATTGCAGTTTGTCGGATAAATAATACATATACTTGTGAAATAATGAGAGAATAAAAACATAAATGAAAAAGTTCCCCAATTGAAACCTTTCATTTTTAGATAATTGCCCTGAAACACACAATAAAAGCTTGGGAAAAGGCATCAAATCTGTGAGATATACATAGCTAGTTATAGCCTTAGTAGCTCTCATTTTGAAAAAATTATTTTGCAAGTGTAGCTCACTACTAAGATATCCTGAGTATCCAAACCAGATGGCCTAAGGTTTACTACCTCAAATATACAGCCCACATATCCACTGAATTGTATAAGGGGCTGACTGGGGATGTTAGATAACAACCCAAGAAACATAAACGCCCTTGAAGTCAGAGAAAATTGTATAAAAATATGTAGCCGTCCACAGATTTAAAATGTTTAAAACACCTTAAAAATGTAACACATGCAAAATAAATATAAGAAATTTAAAATTGGCTTTGGATTAACATGTTATAATGCAGAAGTAGTAGATGGATCCCTTGATATCTGAATAATCAAGATCCCAGGCAGGATTTATAATTTAGGAGAGCTAATACACAGAGCTATATAAGCTGGTCCAACACTAAGAATTCAGCAGAGCTGTATCAGTGTCTTCCTGTAGAGACTTGTAATTTTTTTCTGTCTGATTTTAGGACAGAAGAGTACATAGATAGGTGAATCAGAGATTTATATTTATAGTTCTATTTCTATTTGATACCAAAGCTTGCATCAGAACAAAATCAAACATTTAAAAAGGGAATTTTCATTTTATATTCTTAGTGCTCAACACTTAAAAATCTTCTGCATAATATTGTCCCATGTTCTTTGTATTTTGCCTTACCAATTAATAGCAATTTAATTGGTATTCATTCAATAATACTGAATTCATTCAACAGACATTTATTGAGTTCCTACTATGTGCCAGATGCTGTGCTAGGCTCTGAACATGTATAACAATGACTGAGATAGGACCCATGCCCTGTTGGAATTCACAGCTTTCAAAGATTCATTTAGTTTAATTTCGTTATCAGTAGTGATCGGAAAAATGGCTAGTTGTTTAAGAGCAAATTCCTTGGAGAGGTTGGTGTGGACACTGAATATGGAGAAAAGTGTAGAAAATTAAACTAGAAAAAGTATTAGGCATGTTCTTGTTAATGTAATTTCAATGGAGAGATAAATTTGAGTTTGAAATTGGGGTATGTAAAATGAGAAATGATCATTATATTTTAAAATAAGACCTTGATAGACATAGAGAGGATGGATTGGAAGACAGACTGAAGACAGAGAGATTATCAGGGAAAACTTTGAAATCTTTAAGGGATATTGAAACTTTGGGACTAAGACTGCATAAATATGAGAATAGAAAAGAATATTCTCGAGCATTTTTAAGGCAGACTTGACAAAAATCTTATTAATCAGTATGGAATTAGGAAATCAGATGTGTATGGATTATGATTAAAGCAAGAAGAGTTGTTGACACAGTTTAAATAGAAACATAAGAAAATAAAAGGCCAATGGCTGACTTTAGGGAAAGCTCAAAATTTAAGAGACCAAGAAGAGAAAAAGAAACGACTGAAGAATCTGCAAGAGAACTATGCTTTATTATAGGTGAACACAGTGAAAGCAAGTATAAGCAATGAAGCTCAAGAATTACTTATTACGTAAAACTGGAACTCCAAACAGTCCACTCTAACCTTGTAATTTTCAAGATCAGGAAAAGGACTTGCCCAGTGAATTTGCTCATGAAGTGGCAGAGCTAAGGCTTGAGCCCCATGTTGTGATTTCATAGTCAATTTTTTACTTCTATTATACATGTTCCTTAATATTTAAACATTAAAGTTGGCCGGGTGTGGTGGCTCATGCCTGTAATCCCAGCACTTTGGGAGGCCGAGGCGGGTGGATAACGAGGTCAGGAGATAGAGACCATCCTTGCTAACACTGTGAAACACTGTCTCTACTAAAAATATAAAAAGTTAGCTGGGCGTGGTGGGATGCGCCTGTAGTCCCAGCTACTCGGGAGGCTGAGGGAGGAGAATCGCTGGAACCCGGGAGGCAGAGGTTGCAGTGAGCTGAGATCGCGCCACTGCCCTCCAGCCTGGGCGACAGAGTGAGACTCCTTCTCAAAAAAAAAAAAAAAACAAAACGAAAAAACATTAAAGTTAACTTGCTATTATAACTTTCCCTCTCTCTTCTGCCTTATTTGTGTCTTCTGGAAATAAAATTTTAATTTAATAATATATTTTCTTTCTTGATATACTCGGATTCAGCCTTGATCTGAGATTTTAAAAACTTGAGTTCAAAATATGTCCCTGAGCACGTTCCTAAATATCTATGCAGCTTAATTCACCAGTTGCAAAATTAATGGTTGATCTAAATGATCTTTAGTATTCATTTGTATCTATGGTATCTTAGCTACCTATTCAGATATTTGATGAGCAACCATCACTAGGTGTGTCCCAATCTGTGTGGAGACAGATTAAGGAACAATATTCCACAGGCAAATTAGAAGCATCTCCAAGACTTTTCCAACTCTGGAGGCCCATGGTGTATATTTTAGAAACATTCATCCTTAGACTGCAGCTGGGGAAGTCTGGGGCTTTTGCTGATGATAGTAATGTCTTATCATATGGTTCTGACAGCATATAACATAGGTTATTTTGCCATGTCTGCTGTTTTGCTATTTTTGTGTCTTTGGGGAAAATAATTGACCAAATTAGACTTCCTGCATATTCTTAAACATTCATGATAAAGCTCGGAGCTGCAACACTGTTCCAATTTCTTATTCATAGCTTGTTATTTTAAAAGATGTTGCATTTTGCAGAGACATTATACAGTGCATATCTTGCCTGAAAGGGAAAGAAAATTAGCCCACCTATATCTAACAGATAGAGTTGTCAAAAAGCACAGCAAATTCCCTTTTCCCACTTTCTCGACTACCTAGGCCATCTCCAAATGTACACTTTGTTTCATGACAATTGAGGGGATAAAAAAGCAGGTTAAAAAAAAATCCCTGGAAGGGCTGTTGTGGTAAAGAGGGATTTTAATGACATTTTGACATTTTTTGGATGAGTGCTTTGATAGAACAAACTGAGGAAATGCTCAGCATATGGGAAGCTTTCACTATTCATATATGAAGTACCTGTAACTATAATTTCTGTTAATTGTATGTAATATAGAGAAAATAATACATTTAAAAAATTTTAATATGTAACACATTTTTGAGTGTCATAATCCCCAATTTTGGGAGTCCTAAATTAAATATATAAATCTGGACATAGCGAGTATCTGTTTCATTAAAATTGGTTGAAATAGACTAAATAAATGAAAAATTGACATTAAAAAATACATTAGAATAAGATAACCAAGTAAAAAGGCAGAGTTTCTTTCCCTGGAGATGTTAAAAATTGGAATGAGTGCCCATCTGTACAGAATTATTTAGATACTCTCTTTCCTGAAGGCTAGCAGAACTATTTGACCTCCAGCAGTTCATTTCAACATTCAAAGCTTATGATTGCCTATTACTCTATTGTTTTCTCATTTAAAAGCTGGCTTAACATTCTCTCAGGAACACAGGCTTTATATGTAAAGGTTTTTGTTTGGACTTGGAGTGGAGATTGAAATAGAATATTTTGCAATATGGGAGACAGGGCAGTGTTTCTGAAGTGTGAGGGCACAGTGATTAGGAAGAGCTGATGTCCTAGCAGTTTGCACTTCTCATGCCTAATTTGATAAATGGTAATGAGCATCTGCTAATCTCCAGTGTAATGAGAACCTATTTGTAGTGCTTACAACCTGAAAAAACTGTGTGTGTGTGTGTGTGTGTGTGTGTGTTTGTTAGGGTACAGGAGAAATTTTCACTCTTGCATCATGAGCACTCACCCATGTGCATGCACGCACACACATACACACCTTAAACCCTAAAAAATAATTACTTAATCAATTGCAGGGTCAAATTTATTTTATCCAAATTTAGTAGAGGATCTTAATGATGCTAATAACTTCCAATCTGATAATGCGTTATTAGCTCTCCTTCCCACACAGCGCTTCTCCTCTAGCCAATTCTAGATGTAGCCATTGGCAGGTGGTGCCCTTTGCTGGCTGATGTTGTCTGGCTAAAGACCCTGCTGTCCAGGTGCTGTATTCTAGGCTTGGCCGCCAAAATATCAGGGGTGTGGGTTAAACAACATGCACTGTTGACAAAAGTGGCCTCCTAGCAGCCAAATCTCCTCTCTATTCCTGTATTACCTGAGGGAAAGCCATGACTTAACATCTCCAAATAGTTTCAGTAATGGGGGGTACAATGGCTGGTTTGAGCCAGCTGCCTTGAGAGAGAGGCAATTATCTTGGCTGGGATTAAGTAGCTACAGGTGTCAACACCTGCTGCATAGTTAAAGGCTGTCTACATGACCGCTGTTTACTCTCATCTTGAAACAGGTCATTTGGTGCTTGAGTCAATGGAAACAAAGTCTTTGGCCTTAATTTGTTTCTCCTAACAGGCAAGCAAAATAAAAGCAGAATGAAAACACAATCCCCTTGGCTTACTCAGAGAAGGGACAAACGTGAAAATTCGGAGTTCACATTACAATAACTCTTATTTTGAAAAACAAATTGGAGTTTACATTTCCAAGATTGTAAAATTACAAATGTTTTACAATTTAGTATTCTGAAAGAGATGTACCCATGGCCTTTCCTTTTTCATTGTGGCTATTGTTGTATTTTTTATACTTGTGATCAAATTAATATGAAAGCTTCTAGTAACAAGTATTTGGTGCCCCTCAATGCATATCTAGTTTTTGCTCACCAGTTTGTTGGAGCTTATTACAAAACCCAAATCTTCTTGGTTCACATTTTCCAGAGCTTAGCTCAGGATTCTTATATTCTGAGAATTGTCTTCCATGAACGTTTCTTACTGTACATTCTCATAGTACTTTCCTATGTCTACAATTTCCTGTATTGCCACCTGATCCACAGACCAGCAGTGTCTACATCAGCTGGGATAATTAGACATGCAGGCTCTTGTAACCATCCCTGACCTATTGGATCAGAATCTACAAATTCCCAACATTTTTATGTGCATTAAATTTTGAGAAGTACTGATACAACACATTTCAATTACACAATGCAGTTAATTATGTATATGTCTGGCTTCCCCAGGGAATGAAAATTCCTTGAGGTCAGGTCTTTGTTCAATTAGAGCTACCAGCCTGGTAGCCTGCTCCTCATATCAATGTTCTTAAGACATCTTTCCTGTAAACTCAGTCCTGCCCTGGGCTGTGGACCACATCTTGTGCATATATATCAAATTTCCCTGCTCTGCCTTTATTCCACCAGTTTAAAAGTTCAAGTTTTTTTTTTTTTTTCTCATTTCTGAAGTGAAGTATCTACAGCCTTTCTCAGTTTGGTAACTGGATATCTACATTTTATCACTGGGCATAATTATTTCCTGAAAATGTGCCTAGTGCTCCAGTGCTTCTGAAAAGTAGGCTCTGCTTTATGCTTTGATTACAAACTGCTGGAGGATAGACTCTGGTCTCATTCCAATCTCTTTTCACAATGTGAGTATAGCCATAATGGTGTACCAAAAGGCCCTTGATCAATGATTTTTTGTAAGCTATACTGTCAATTAGATGCAGCTGCTTTACAAACTGTGTTATCTCTTTTAGGCCTATAGTATTTGGTAAGTAATTGTCCCAATGCATGAAATTTGTCCTACCAACTTGAAAGAATGAATACTTCCCCCAAGCACATCTAATTTATCCAGGTAAAGTATAACTCACCCAACAGATTTAGCTCCTTATGTTGCCGTTGAATTTAGACTCATTTGGCAGAACTGAAAATCTCCAACTCTGTGCAAACTGATACTTGAAGCTCTTTGCTCTGCTGGTATGCTTTCTCATAATTTTGGAAGGGGCTTGTGTGTGTGCGTGTGTGTGTGCACACACGTGCTATCTTTCCTGGCCCTATCTCTGTCCTGTTTTCAAATGGAAATTGTGAAAGGACTAAGGATAGAAGAAGCAACATCAATTTATGCTTATTAGAAGTAACCTATTATATTTTTATTGATATGTACCTGCATATTTCAAAACATCTGCTGGCATTTTCCATTGGCTTGAGTAGCCCCATGCAAATAGAGAGACTAGGGTGTTTTCTGACTGTGCCTCTACCATGGACCATTGGAGGAATGAGAGTGGAGTTGAGAGTAGATGTATACATATACCTGCAAAGAGAGAGAGAGAGAGTAAGAGAGAGAAGGGAGGAAGAGAGCAAGCACAATAATAAGCACAGATAAGCAAACATTTAGATAAGATGAGAGGTACACAAACCTTTGGTTCAGGTAAGTGTCTAGCTCTGTTACTAACTATGGGAACAAGCATTTTTTTAAAACTCTCTGCATTTTTAAGAAGCGTTACGTAACATAGAAGAACCTCAATTTTCTCATCCATAAAATGGAAATAATATACCTAACTTTGCTTATAGCCACTATACACTTGTGCAGGCTGTGCACTGCACAAAGTACCTGCTGAGGGGTTTTTGTGGACTGAAATCCAGCCTGCTGTATATTCACCAAGACATGCATCCAGGCACAAGTCTTTCTCTGCCTGGAGTTAAAAAAAAAAAAGCGTTTCTGAAAATCACAAAGGTACCATATAGGCTAGCTCATAAAATGGCCTTGCTCATACAATTTCTTGTGGGTATTAAAAAAGATGGTTTGTAGAACTATGGCAGACTGCTTGGCGTTCACTAAATGTTTTGTCACTTCTCTGGTCCTTGTTTTGCTTCTCTCTAAATGTAGATTTTATTCTCATTATTTAACTTTCTCCCCCAGGCTACAATGAAGGCTGTCTATTCTTCCTGGGCTCACATCTTCCTAACTCTGCCCTCAGGTAAATAACCTCTCATCTCAGTTTTAATTTGAAAAAATCTTTGGAAAAGCAGGTCTAATAGACCTGACTAGAGTCACAAGCCCAGAATGATGGAGCCACTCTCATTATCAATTCTGAGCATAATCACGTGAGAAGCAGGAAGAAGTACAGAACTCAAAGAAAAGGCAATCATCTGTTTTTCCCCAGCAAATGTATGATATGTGGGAGAGATTAAAAACAAATATTTCCACCACAATTCTTAAAAGTATTGAGCACTTGCGGTATGTGGAGACTCCCAATAATCCCAATGAAGTACACAGAGACAGAGGAGGCGAAAAATTAGTTGAAGGCATAGAGAACAAGATTTGAGAATCACTACATCGAGATGAGTCAGCAAATACAAAATAAAAATTGCAATGCTAAGTAGTGTTGTCCTTAATGGAGGTCATTTCTTCTTTTTGGGTCCCAGTTTTCTCATCTGAAAAATGAAGTGCCTGAATCAGACCATTATTATTAGGTTCCCTTTTACTCTGATGTCTATGACTCCTCCATCCATTCATCAGTCATTCCATGTCTCCATCCATCAATCCATTTCCCTAATACTGTTAGGTGCTTGAGATACTTAGATCCTAAGTCAGCAAGTGTTTATTGAGGGCCTACGAAACATAAGGCAGTATTTTTCGGTACGGTGATATATGCAGAAAATAAATGATAGTCTTTCTCTTCAAGTCGTTTCCAGTCTAGTTGGAGAAGGCTAAGTATACAGTATATGAAAAGCAAGAATTATGTAACAGACAACAATGCAACAGAACCAAGAAAAATTGGTGAACACTTGTCAAAGTCTGGTGAAGAAAATTTGGACTTCAGCATGAGTATGGTGATATAGCAAAAGGACACAAAGATGGCTCCATGGAAGAGAAGGGGTTTTACTTCCTCTGGAGACTGAGAGAAGGCCATCACCGGCTGAGCAGAGAGGTCAGGTACGCACCTTCTGTACTGGAGAAAAGGCTCGAATTTCTCATCCTTTTTAATACTAACATGGAATTGTTTAGGTTTGTGGTCTTTTTCTTCAGTGTTTCAATGTTTTCGTTGAGTACATGTTGTGTAAAATTAGAAATGCTGACATATACTGTAACTATGTATGTCAGAAAGAGAAGTTACCTGAAAACATTTGAGGTAAATACTAATTGCATTCATCTGCTAATTAGCACGTTCTTTGTCACTGACTATATCACCAGATTGGATTTCCCACTGGGAAATAGAAGTAAAAAAAAGTCGAGAAATTAGAATGCTAGTTGCTATGAAGATGTTAGAGACAAAAGTGTATGAGAAATGTTGCTGTCAGGCTAAGGTTTGAAAGTGGGTGGCCGGTAAGGAATTAAACACACATATGTCTATATGAATAGTGATTACTACCTTTTAGTTTAAACAATGTTGATTCTAATTGTCTTCAGAGCCACTTGGAACTAATAGCTCATTAGAAATCAATTGATACCTGAATGAAGGTGCACAGTGAGCAGAGGAACAAGCTGGAGAAGGACTGTGATTACTTTGCAGGCTGTAATCATGGGGACAGAGAAAAGCCAAGTTTTCAAACCAACGTTCTAAATATGGTTGTGCTAAAATTAAAAGCACAAGTTTAAAAGTTGTCAGACACAGTAAGGTATAGTTCAAAGCTCTATAGGATTTGTCTTGGAATTTAGTGTCACAAACTGACATAGTTCCATAAAATGCACTGTAATAATCATACCAAGTAGAGGCTGGTAAATTTGGATGGGAATGAATTTGCTATTTTTTGTCACATAATCAATAAAAAGGGATACAACATGCAAAGAATATATCTGGCATGGTCACCTACAATGAATGTTTAGGGATTTTGCTTTTGTTATTTATCACAATGTGTTTTTTAGTCCTTGTTTAAAATTTCAATCACTTAATTTTTTTCATTCTATTTATTCTTTTCTGAGATTATCATCACAGAACAAAGCACGTAGTTTCCTTTGTGTATTAAGGATTGATTTACTTCATTTCTAGTCATAATTGTTAAAGTAGACCATCAAGTAATTGTGTACACTGGTGATACAGAGATGGATAAGGTGTGTCCTTTGCCTTTATGGTCTTACATTCCAATGGGTCAGAGAATGCATCATTATAAGACTGTGCAGTATTTCTGTAAGAAGGTATTACAGAGAGTATAGGTTATTGGAAAAGTAAGAGAGAAAGAAAGAAGTGGGGATAGAGGAAAGGAAAAACTGATCAACTAAACTGGGCTAATCTCAGCATCAGGATTGAAGAATGAGAACATGATAGTAGGAAATCTATGAGCAACATGCCTCTCAAAACTAAACATATCTGCCACAACATGGTGTAGCATACAATCTAGACAACACAGTTCTTGGGTGCCATAGGACCCAAGCTATGTCTCTGAGAACCTAAACAATCTTTATCAACAAACTCTGTTCCTTCATAACTAAAATATCTCTGCTTCTGAGTGTAGCTGGCATGATACATCAAAGGGCATAATTTATTTCAGTAGTTTGTCAGAGCAGCTTTCTTATCAGGTGATTCTTGAGATTTCTTTTTCGGACCCTAGAATTAGCCTGCTTTTATCCAGGAACTGTCCTACTGCATGAGGCTTATTGTGGGCAAGGCTGTGCTGAAGCTGCCAAATTGACTTCCTGTTCTCTGAACTCTGTCACCAGAAATAGAAAGATGATATTGTACATTATCTCTGTGCTAAACTTGCTATTCATTACCCCTTGTCCATGTGAGCACTCCAATCAATGGGCCTTGCCCCACCAAAAGCAAAAAACATTTAGTGCCAAGCAATTGAAAATACATTGTTTAAATTTATTAAGCCAAATTACATAGCATTTAGATATAAATATGCCCAAGAAAAAAGTGTAGACTCAAAATTATACTTTAGAGCTTTACATTCATAGCCGATTTTTTTCCACCATAGTTACCTACTTTTTTTCATAAGCCATTATCTCTAGGCAAATTGGCTTATCTATTTTTATATTTTCTCTTGTCATACTTTGTTCATGCAGCACAATCCACCTAGAATTATTTCCTATCTTCTCTACTACCAATGTACATTCTGGCTGTTCTTGTAGACCCAGCTAAGATCTCTCTTTCCCCACAAGAGTATATAGTATCTTTTTTGACTTTGAGAGTTTCTTGTCAATTTAGACATGCATTGCCTTCCTCTTTTCTTCCCATTGTTATCCTAAATTATTTTACTCTTTTGCTGTAGCGTAATTTTTTACTAGTTTATATTTAGTTTTCCTGATAAGTTTAAAAAGTTTTTTGAGGGCATATATCCTATTTTAGATTTCTGTATATTTCTACATTGCCAAGTATTTTAGTCTGTTTTGTGCTGCTATAACAGAATACTCCAGACTGAGTAAATTATAACAAACAGAAATTTATTAGCTCATGGTCCTGGAAGCTGGGAAGTCCAAGATCAAGGAGTTGACATTTGGTGAAACCTTTCTTGCTGCATCATCCCAGGGTAGAAGGGCAAGGAGAAAGAGAGAAAGAGCAAGAGATCAAACTTTCAGGCTGAAGCTCTTTTATTATCAGCATTTTTCTATTCATGAAGGTGGAACTCTTATGACCTAAATGCTTCCCACTAGACCTCACCTCCCTACACTGTTTCATTGGTGATTAAGTTTTTAACATACACTTTCTGAGGGGACACATTTAAACCATTTTGCCAAGCTTAGGTCATAGGTCAAAACATCAATAAATATTGTTTACAGTGTTTTTATTATTTAAAATTTTATCTGATTTTCTATAATTTGATAAAGAAGTTTGATCAAGCAAAACTTGGAAACTTTAAACTGATAGTCATCAATTATTTTCATGGTTTTTACAATGTCTTAATAGAATATTTTAAGAATTTGAGGCAAGATAATTCTTTCTAATTACTACTTATAAATTGCATGCCTTATGTATTGTTTAAATAATATTTGCATATTATATGCCTTACAGAGTTCCCGTTCCAGCTAAGACGGAGTTAACACAAGCCCCTTTTCACTTCCACTGAACTCAACTATAAAACCAGGAAAGAATTCACGGCCTAGCTATTTGAGAACTTGAAAAGCAAATAGCAACAAGTGGATCAGAGAAAAACGCCAGAATTTGGAGCATCATTGAACTAGTGGTGAGTTTATCTTTTTTTTCTTCCAGGTCTCTCCCAGCCTAAAATTCAACAAAGCCTGAAACCTGGAATTGAGCATTGTAGTGCAGGCAGAGAGAAAGGTAGAGAGTACTGCATGTATGAGCTTGAAAGGGAATTTCTAAAACTCAAAAAGAATGAGGGTAAATCCTTTGACTTTCTTTCTCTTCTTTTTCTATGCTTTCTCATTCTTCAGTCACCAGGAAATCCCATGGTGAAGAGATCAGTGACATTGACATCAGTCAGCAATGGAGGCCTGTTGGAGCCAAAGCTCTGAATGTAGAAAACATTCATCTCCATGTAGTGGATCTGTTGCGTCAATATAATGTATCCAAACTCAATTGCCTTTCTTTCTCACTTTTGATCCTCCAACTAATTAGCCCCAGGCATGGTAGAATTATGAAAGTAGGTGGTTTCTAGCTGGACAATCAAAAAGAAGCACGAGAAAAATTACTGGGGCTGCCATGGAGAGCAAGAGGGAAAGTGACACCATAAATTTGTTTATAAAACTTTGGGCTCATCCCCAAACTGCACATACATAAATCTAATTCTATTTAGCATAAAAATGTTTAGAAATGAGAAGATGGGTCCCAGACTTACCACTAAGTAGTACACACATGGGACAGATCTGAATAATAGTGTAAATACATGAAAAATTAAACTCATATTGGGACTGATGGCCATAGAAGGCTAAAACTAAATACCAACTTTTTCTGTAGGATTTAAACAAGACTCAGAGTCTCTTGATATAATATTCAAAATATTCCAGCATATAAAGAAATGTGAGACAATCAACTTGCATCAGAAGAGACAATCAACAGATACCGAGGATTAGATGACTGAGTTGTTGGTGTTACTTAACAAGGATTTTAAATGAGTTGCTATAAAAATTATCAAGTGAACTATCATGAATACTCTTGAAACAAATATATTTAATACAACATGGCAGTAATATTAGATTAAAAACTAAGTTCATGCTTAAAGTACCATATTCATAAGGCTTTTGTTTTTCAAAGTAGTTTCATCTTTTAAGAACTTAGATATATTTCACAAACCATAAATGTCATCATTTTAAGGTGTACAAGTCAGTAGCTTTTAGTATATTCACAAGGTTGCAAAATGACTCTCTAATTCCAAAATACCTTTATCAACGTAAAGGAAAACCCTATGACTGTTAATAGTCCATTCCAATTCTTGGGTTCATTTTTCTTTGCCAAAATTTGCTTTATTTTTATTTTTTGCCAGTTTATAAACTGTCCTTATTGGACTATATGAGATTAATGTGAAATAATAATCAATAGTGAAAGATTACTGTATCTTTTTTCTTTTTGTTCCAAGATAGAGTCTCGCTCTGTTGCCCAGGCTGGAGTGCAGTGGCGTGATCTTGGCTCATTGCAATCTCTGACTCCTGGGTTCAAGCAAATCTTCTGCCTCAATCTCTGAGTAGCAGGGACTACAGGCGCATGCCACCATAGCCAGCTAATTTTTTGTATTTCTAGTAGAGATGGGGTTTCACTCTACTAGTAGAGATGGGGTTTCACTAGGTTGGCCAGGCTGGTCTCGAACTCTGACCTCAGGTGGTCCACCCGCCTCAGGCTCCCAAACTGCTGGGAATACAGGTGTGAGCCACCACGCCTAGCCTACTGTATCATTTTTATGACCATGGATTACTACTCCATTGTGATATGACATAAGTTCTTCTATTATTAGATATTTTGCTCTTAAATAACAAGGTAGGTGAGTCCATAGAGAGGTGTATTAGTTTGTTTTCACACACTATAAAAAAACTACGTGAGACCAGGTAATTTATGAAGAAAAAAGGTTTAATTGACTCACAGTTCTGCAAGCTTAACCAGAAGCAAGACTTGGAGGCCTTGGGAAACTTACAATCATCGCAGAAGGCAAAGGGGAATCAAGGCACATCGTCTCATGGTGGAGGAGGAGAGAGAGAGGTAGCAGGGGGGAAGTGCCACATGCATTTTTAACAACCAGATTTCATGAGAACTTATTCACTATCATGAGATGAACATAGGGGAAATCCACCCCATGATCCAGTCACCTCCCACAGGTCTCTCCTCCAACACTAAGGATCACAACTCGAGATGAGAATTGGATGGGGGGGGGGACACAGAGCCAAACGTTATCAGTCTGCCCTTGGCCCCTCCCAAATCTCATGTCCTTCTCACATTTCAAAACACATCATGCCTTCCCAACAGTCCCCGAAAGTCTTAACTCATTCCAGCATTAACCCAAAGGTCTAAGTCCAAAGACTCATCTGAGACAAGGCAAGTCCCTTCTTCCTATGAGCCTGTAAAATCAAAAATAACTTAGTTACTTCCAAGATACAATGGATGTACAGTCGTTGCGTAAATGCTCCCATTCCAAATGGGAGAAATTGGCCAAAACAAAGGGGCTACATGCCCCATGCAAGTCTGAAACCCCGTAGGACAGTCGTTAATCTTAAAGTTCCAAAATAATCTACTTTGACTCCATCTCTCACATACAGGGCATGCCGATGCAAAGGGTGGGCTCCCAAGGCCTTGGGTCCCTGTGTCTCTGCTGGGTAAAGCCCCGTTGGCTACTTTCACAGGCTGGTGTTTAGTGACTGCGACTTTTCCAGGTGCGTGGAGCAAGCTTTTGGTGGATCTACCATTCTGGAATCTGGAGGACAGTGGCCCTCTTCTTACAGCTCCACTAGACAGTGCCCCAGTGGGGACTCTGTGTGGGGGCTCCAAACCTACAATTCCCCTCTGTGCTTCCCTAGTAGAGATTCTCCATGAGGGCTCTGTTCCTGGAGCAGACTTCTGCCTGGACATCTAGCCACTTCCACGCATCCTCTGAAATTTAGGCAGAGTTTCCCAAACCTCAACTCTTGCCTTCTGAGCACCTGCAGGCCCAACACCAGATGGAAGTTGCCAAGGCTTTGGGCTTGCACCCTCTGAATCCATGGCCCACGCTGTACTTTGGCCCCTTTTAGCCTCGGCTGGAGTCGGAGTGGCTGGAATGCTGAACACAAAGTCCTGAGGCTGCACAGAGCAATAGGGCACCGGGCCTGGCCCATGAAACCATTTTTCCCTCCAGGCCTCTGAGCCTGTGATAGGAGGGGCTGCTGTAAAGGTCCCTGAAATGCCCTGGAGACATTTTCCCCATTGTCTTGGCTATTAATATTTGGCTCTTCTTATGCATATTTCTGCAACAGGCTTAAATTTCTCCACCCAAAATGGGTTTTTCTTTTCTGCCAAATGACCAGGCTGCACATTTTCCAAACTTCTATACTCTGATTCCCTTTTAAATGTAAGTTCCAGTTTCATACAATCTTTTTGTTCACACATATGTGCATATAGTTTTAGAGACAGCCAGGATACATCTTGAATGCTTTGGTCCTTAGAAATTTCTTCTGCCAGGTGCCCTAAATCATCTCTCTCAAGTTCAGAGTTCCAGAGATCTCTAGGGTAAGGGAAAAATGCTGCCAGTCTCTTTGCTAAAGCGTAGCAAGAGTGACATTTACTCCAGTTCCCAATAAGTTCCTCATCTCTATATGAGATCACCTCAGCCTGGACTTCATTGTTTATATCACTATCAGTAATTTGGTCAAAACCAGTCAACAAGTCTCTAGGAATTTCCAAATTTTTCCACCCCTTCCTGTCTTCTTCTGAGCCTTCCAAACTGTTCCAAGCTCTGCCCATTAACTAATTCCAAAGTCACTTCCACATTTTCAGGTATCTTTATAGCAGTGCCCCCTCCTCTGGTACCAATTTTTGGTGTTAATCTATTTTCACTCTGGTATAAAGAACTACCTGAGACTGGGTAATTTATGAAGAAAAGGGGTTTAATTGACTCACAGTTCTGCAGGCTTAACTGAACGCATGACTAGAAAGCCTCAGGAAACTTAGAATCTTGGTGGACGGTGAAAAGGAAGCAAGGTACATCTTCCCATTGAGGAGCTGGAGAGAAAGAGAGTGAGGGGGAAGTGCCACATGCTTTTTAAACCATTAGATCTCCTGAGAACTCACTCACTATCACAAGACCAGCATATAGAAATCCCACCCCAATGATCCAGTCACCTCCCACCAGGACCCTTCTCCAACACTAAGGATCACAACTCAAGATGATATTTGGGTGCAGACACAGAGCCAAACCACATCAATAAGTAAGACTGAAAAGAGTTTTCAATATCAACTGTGGTAAGAGTCTTTCTTTGTAACCATCACTATGTTTGAGAGTTCTGAAATGTAGAGATAAACTGCCATATATTACTTATTTATAATGAAAATATGAGAAATATTTAAATATGTAAAGGTATGCTTTTAAAAATTATACACATAGACACACACACATACACACATATATTTTATTTCAATAGTTTTGGGGGTATGTGTAGTTTTTCATTATATGGATGAATTGTATAGTGGTGAAGTCAGATTTTAGTGCACCTGTCACCTGTATGCTGCACATTGTAGTCAGTATGTATATTATTTTTAATCCTTCACTCCCCTCCTACTCTTCCCCCTCTGAGTCTTCAATGTTCCTTATACCAGTCTGTATGCCTTTGGGTCCCCATAGCTGTTAAGTTAGCTTGAAGTTCCCATTTGATAATAAGGCTGTGTTATAGGAAGAATTCTAGAAAGGTGCTCATAATATCTTCAGAGAATATTTATCCCTGTCTTCATGCTGAGTTGTTCCACCTAATTTATTCCCAATAAAATAAAACTGTCTATGTATAATTTAAATAGGTATATTCCTGGAAATTTGATATTGACTTGAAATCAACCTACTTCTAAACGTGCACTCATCTATTTTTTTCTATATAGAATGAAGTTTTATCAAAATGTTTTTATTTGCATTTGACTCCCTTTTATGCTATATTGAAAACTGAACAGTGGGCTATAGGCATAAATTATCATTTGCCAAAAGATAAAACACAGGATAAATCCAAAAGTATTATTTAATAATTTGTAGCCCACAAAAATCAGTTTATTAAGGGCAATAGCTATTGTGCACATGAAATACCTAATATGTAAGTTATCTCAAATAGAGTTTTTTAAACCCTATCAATATTTTGAATATTAACCAATATTTTACGAAGAGCAGTACTTTATACAGTTTTCTATAGCATCTAAATCCACAAACAGAAATAAATAATTATATTCTTTCCCAGAAAATAAATCAGAATTTTTTTTTAATTCTTGATTAAAGAATACAATTATGTTGGAATCTTTCTCTGTTTAGAAATAAGCACTATAACTATTGGCCTTCTGCTGTTGAATGTGTTTATATATGCTTGTGTAAGTGGATTTGAATGTGTGTGTGAGTGTATGTATAAATAAATATAGGTACACATATGGCTATAGATCAAATAAAGATAATAATTTTTAGCAGAAAAAAACAATTAGGTGACTCAAGAATGTTGGTCCTGTTTATACTTTTGTCTTGAGGATTAGGATTTGTTAGCTCATAAAAAACTCGGAGTTTATTATAGGCATCAATTAAATTCTGCCTAGGGCTGAATCCATGATGTGAAATATAATATAGTGTAAAATTAAATCATGCTTATGAAAAGTAAAAAATAAAAACCAATTTTATTACTGAAATACTTATATAAGTGGGCATTCTGAATATAACAAGTTTGAAGCATGATGAAAAATATAAGCAGACCATATTTAATGATTATTAACTGTGTGTACATGTATAAATAAATATACACATATATGTGTGTGTATTTATAATACCATCTCAAAGTAAATGTATTCTACCACAAGAAATGTATAATAAAGTTGCCTTAAAAATTATCTAAATTTTTGAGGGATTCAAGTACTTCTCAAAGGTAAGGTTGAAATGATATACTTCAATACTAACATATCTATAAAATATGCTCATAACTTGCTTAGTTTTATTTTCCATATTTTTTTACCCACAGAGTATTAAAAGCTCTAATGTACATTCAAGAATGTATAAAATTCATCATAGAATTCTTCATTTTATAGTAATCTTTACTTCATAGTACTATAGTGTGGACAAAAAGGTTGTGAAAGCTTAGGTTCTCTCTGTCTCTCTCTCTCTATATATATACATATACATATACATATACATGTACATGTACATATACATATACATATGCATATACATCTCCTTGACAAGTATTGAAATGCTATGTAGTTGAAAATCTAAATGTGCTGACATTTATAAATAATAACTATATTTACTGAGTCTTAAATATTCTGTTAGAAATAATTTAACTGAACACCCATCAAGCGTTCAACATGTGCAATTTCTTTTGTTTGTTTTTTGTTTCCTTGTCAATAACAAAACCAAACAACTCTTAAAAGTTAATCATAAGTACTATAGAAAATTGAAATGTGCACCTGCAGGCAGGGTTTCAACCTTAAGGTAAACCAAACAAGAGATCTTACAGACATTAAATAGAAGTCTCTTCTCTACAACCTAGAAAAACAGATTTCTCTGGCATTCTGAAATGATTGACAATTTCAAGTAAGCGTGCTGAAATGATCCAGATGTACAGCTTCTGGGGAATAGTTTGATCAGGTGGCTCCATGCATGAGACGACTTGTCAGGAAGATCATCAAGTATCACCTCCCACATATGCAGTCAGGACTATTCAAATTTGTGTCAGGAAAAAGCAGCCAAACCACCAGGTAGATTTGAAGGGAAAGGGAGGCTTCCCTGAAAGCAAAGACATTTCCCTTGACCTATCAAAATTTCTGGAATTACACATCAGGACTGAAATATTTGGGGTGCTTATTAGTCTCACAATAACATACATTAAAGTTTCCCCAGAAATGTTAATGCCACAAACCAACATCAGTCAAAATTTTGGAAAAAGTTCTGTTTTTCAATAAGGGTGTTATGGTCATTTTTAAAAACTTTTTAAAAAACGTTTTAAACTGAGTTTTATTGTGGTATACTTGACATACTATAAACTGCTTATACTAAAATGTACAATTTGATAAGTTTTGAAAAACCATAACTAAAAGATAGTGAGTAGATTGGTTTCTTCTTTGTAATTTCTCCATCCTATCCCTTCCTATTACTGCTCTCCCAGGCAACAATTGCTTTGTTTTCTGTTACTAGAGATTTATTTGCATTTTCTAGAGTTTTACATAATTGGCATTATAAACTATGTAATTTTTTGTGTCTGGTTTCTTTCACTCATTATAACTATTTTGAGAGATTAATCCATATTATTGCATGCGTCAATAGTTCATGCCTTTTTATCAGTCAGTAGTATCTCATTGTATAGATATACCACAGTTTGTGTAGCCATTCAGACATTGTTGGATATTGCAGTTGTTTCCAGGTATTGGCTATTACAAATAATTCAGATATCAACATTTGCTTACGAATCCTTTTATAAATATATGCTTTATTTTCTCTTGGACAAATACCTAGGAGTGGAATGGCTATTTCAATTGGTGAGTGTACACTTAACTTTTTAAGACATTGCCAAGCTATTTTCCAGAGTGGTTATACTATTTTACTTAAACACCAGTATTTACGAGACTTTTAGTTATTCCTTACGCTCACTGGCATTTGGTATGATGATTCTATTTAATTTTAAACTTTCAATAGGTGTGTGGCATATTCCATCCCATTGTAGGTTGAATGTGCACTTCTCTAATGTTGCATGATGTTTATAATTTTTGTGTGTGTGTTTGTTAGCCATCTGTGTATCCTCTTTGGTAAACAATATGTTCAAGTAGTTTGTCCATTTTTAGTAGGATTGTTATTCTGCATTCAAATTTTTTATCAACTATGTTTTTCAGATGTTATTAAAGATGTGTGTGTGAAAAGTGGTTAACTGAGGGGACATAATATAAACTTCAAAAGCTGAAATATCTTACTAAAAGCTGATCTCTCTTGCAAGTAACCAAGGATAACAAAAATTTAAAACTTACTAGTATTCAAGACAATCCTAAGCAAAAAGAACAAAGCTGGAAGCATCACACTACCTGATGTCAAACTATACTACGAGGCTGCAGTAACCAAAACAGCATGGTACTGGTGCTAAAACAGATATATAGACCAATGGAACAGAACAGAGACCTCAGAAATAACACCACACATCTACTACCATCTGATCTTTGACAAACCTGACAAAAACGGGCAATGGGGAAAGGATTCCCTGTTTAATAAATGGTGCTGGAAAACTGGCTAGCCATATGTAGAAAGCTGAAACTGGATCCCTTCCTTACACTGTATACAAAAATTAACTCAAGATGGATTAAATACTTAAATGTTAGATCTAAAACCATAAAAAGCCTGGAAGAAAACCTAGGCAATACCATTCAGGACATAGGCATGGGCAAAGACTTCATGACTAAAACACCAAAAGCAATGGCAACAGAAGCCAAAATTGGCAAATGAGATCTAATTAAACTAAAGAGCTTCTGCACAGCAAAAGAAACTATCAGCAGAGTGTACAGGCAACCTACCGAATGGAAGAAAGGTTTTGCAATCTACACATCTGACAAAGGGCTAATATCCAGAATCTACAAAGAACTAAAGTTACAAGAAAAAAAACAACCCCATCAAAAAGTGGGTAAAGGATATGAACACATACCTCTCAAAAGATGACATTTATGCAGCCAACAGACATATGAAAAAAAGCTCATCATCCCTGGTCATCAGAGAAATGCAAATCAAAACCACAATGAGGTACCATCTCATGCCAGTTAGAATGATGATCATTAAAAAGTCAGGAAACAACAGATGCTGGAGAGGATGTGGAGAAACAGGAATGCCTTTACACTGTTGGTGGAAGTGTAAACTAGTTCAACCATTGTGGAAGACAGTGTGGTGATTCCTCAAGGATCTAGAACTAGAAATACCATTTGACCCAGTGATCCCATTACTGGTTGTATACCCAAAGGATTACAAATCATGCTACTATAAAGACACATGCACACATATGTTTATTGCAGCACTATTTCCAATAGCAAAGACTTGGAACCAACTCAAATGTCCATGAGTAATAGACTGGATTAAGAAAATGTGGCACATATACACCATGGAATACTATGCAGCCAGAAGAAGGGATGAGTTCATGTCCTTTGCAGGGACATGGATGAAGCTGGAAACCATCATTCTCAGCAAACTGTCACAAGGACAGAAAACCAACCACTGCATGTTCTCACTCATAGATGGGAGTCAAACAGTAAGAACACGTGGACACAGGGAGGGGAATATCACACACTGGGGCCTCTTGGGGGGTGGGGGGCTGGGGGAGGGATAGAATTAGGAGAAATACCTAATGTAAATGATGAGTTGATGGGTGCAGCAAACCAACGTGACACATGTATACCTATGTAACAAAACTGCACATTGGGCACATGCACCCTAGAACTTAAAATATAATAATAATAATAATAATAATAATAATAATAATAATAATAAACTTACTAGTATTGAATGAGCTAGTCTTATTTCTGAGTCTTATGGTAAAACATTTTTCTGTAGTATAGTGGTTTAGGGCAGGGCTTCTGGAGCTACTCTGTCTGAACTCAAATTCACTTGGCTACTTCTCAGCTGTGTAATTGTGTGTAAGTTTCTTAATACCTCTATGCCTCTTTTGTAGATGTAATACTTGTGGCTGCCTCATAGTGTTGTCATTATGCACATAAAGCACACAGTAAAGGCTCAATAATATTTGCTATTGTTTAATAAATTCATTATTATTTACCCATTCTTGCTCTCTAAATTTTATCTGTGATAGACCTCATTTAACTTGGCCAGCCTCTCAGGCTAATTTCTTTCCATAAGTGAAATGCCCTTTAAAGGCCATAGGCTGTCAGGAGGAGGAAATTATGTTCTTGAGGTTTGAGTCAAAGAAATTGTGTAAAATAAGTAGAAATCTCTGGCCAGATAGTGCTAAGAGAAGCTGCTGATGAAGATCAGAGTATTGAGGCATGGGGGAAGGAATGATTATGGTCTGTCTTCCATCGAGGCAGTTTGTTTAAACTCATCAATTTGTTACCGTGACTGGATCTTGACACTAAATTTAACTTAAGAATCCTTGAAAAGATAGTACGTCATTGAGTTGGGGGAAAGTGCATGAATAGGGAACTTAACTGTTGTCTCACTATGACTAAAACAAAAACTCTTCTAAAACACCTACTGAGTGATGGTTTTCTCAAGAGAAGGTTCCAAGTTGGCCAAAGGATAGTTTGTGGAAAGAATAATTTCAGGAATTTTACTATTAGAGAATGTAGTGATTCACCTGGGTTTGAAGCCCAAATGAAAAGAATAAAAAGATTTTGGAATGCTCTCCCCAACCCAAAAAGAGTTAGTGTGAGAAGGGGATAATGAATTTGAAGTGATCTAGGCTGAGAACCATATGGAAGGATGAGAAGACATGAGACTGACATCTGGAAAAACAACAGGAAACATTTTTAATAGTCAAATGTGCTTTGTATTAGTATCAGGAAGCACTTAAAAATATGTCATCCCTTTAGACTGTGAGTTGTGTGAGGGCTGAAGACAATGCCCATTTTGTTCAGTATTTTTTCTGGTGCCTAGCACAGTGTTTATTATATAGCAGATGCTCAACGAAGATATAAAATGTGTATTTTTAAGTACTCAACCTCATCCTTCTCTCTCCACAATGCAAAATTCAGCTCATGAAGTTTTCCTTCTCTTCCCAAATCTTGAAGGATTAGACAACGTATGATGTTGGGAGGGTTTCATTTGGCCTGAAACAATTATGACACCGTACATGTCTCCTGCAAAGCTTCTAAGGACCTCACCTATTAACATATTTTATCAGTGCTGCAAGTGTTTATTTAGATTATGTCTAATCAGCACATTCTAGACTAGATTGAGAATATTTAAGGTTAAGAATCTTTCTGAGTTTACTTCACCCCTTTGATCTTGCTCTTCTTCCTCCTGTAAGACCGGTTACCTAGAGCAATAGAAGCTCATGTTTAGACATGGCAACTAGTTTGGAAGAGGATGAAGCTCATAGTGAGTTGCTTCCACCCAGGCCAGAACAGCTGTATTTGGCAGAATGTAAAGGGGGGCCATATCTCTTGGACAACTGTCCCTATTTTTATGGCCACAAGCTCAGGTTCAGGTGGTCTCAGCTTGTGTATGTAAGTACTATTGATGATCTAAAAGCTCTTAACTATACCATAGCTTAGTATTATATGCCATTCAGTGTTATAGGAACAGGGAAGAGGAGCATGATATTAAATACTTTGAACACACTTTTTTGGGTTTGTTGTTGTTATTTTTGGAGACAGAGTCTTGCTCTGTCACCCAGGCTGAAGTGCAGTGGCATGATTGTGGCTCACTATAGCCTTGACCTCCCGGGCCCAAGAGATCCTCCCACCTCAGTGTCCCAAGTAGCTGAGCCGACAGGTGTGTACCACCACGCCCAGCTAATTTTTGTATTTTTTTTGTAGAGTCAAGGTTTTACCATATCGCCCAGGATGATCTAGAATTGCTGAGCTCAAGCTATCCTTCTGCCTCAGTCTGCCAAATTGGTGCTGGGATTACAAGTGTGAGTCACTATGCCCAGCTAAAACACACTTTTTTTTTCTTTTTACACTTACTGGTTTATTATAAAGGATATTACAAAGGATACTGATGAAGAGACACATAAAGCAAGGTATGGGGGAAGGCGTGCACATCTTCCATGTCCTCGGCCTGCCTCTCTCCAGGAATCTCCACATATTCATCTAACCAGAAGCTTCCTGAACCTGGTTCTCCTGGTAAACAGATTTTTAAAAAAGTTATCCACCTAGAAGTTCTATTATTTTTCTTAACCACCATTCTATGTATGAAAATATTGAGGCTTAGAGAAGTTAAGTGATGCTCCTGGATCTCATGGCAAATCAACTAGTAGATCCAGTTTTCGTTGTGAAATCTTTGCCTCTTCCTATGTCCAGAATGGTATTGCCTAGGTTGTCTTCCAGGGCTTTTATAGTTTGGGAATTTACATTTAAGTCTTTAATCCATCTTGAGTTGATCTTTGAATATGGTGTAAGGAAGGAGTTCAATTTGAATTTTCTGCATATAGTAAGCTGCAAATAATATTTTAAAGAAAAGTTACTGATAGACCAATTGCACAATTGTGTACAAAATAATTATATTTTAGATGATGTAATAAACAGAAATGTGATTGTCATAAATATAAAGGTGAGCTATCCACTGTCCAGTAGATTTACCCTCCATCTCTGCTGTGAGAAGAAAATTTAATTTTCTTCAGAATGTTATTTGTGTATATGTTTTTCTCGTACTTATAAGCTAACCCTTTAAAGTGTCAAACCATTACAGGATGGTTATGGACTGAAATGTGTACTCTCAAAATTCATGTCTGGAAACCTTAATCCTCAAAGTAACTATATTTGGAGATAAGGCCCATAAGTCAGTAACTAAAGTTAAATGAGTCTAGAAGGTAGGGTCCGTATATGATTGATCTGATAGGTCCTTATAATAAGAGACAACAGAGAATTTGCTTTCATTCTCTTTCTTTCTCTCTCTCTCTCCCCCATGCGAGGACACACAGGAAGGCGCCCATCCATAAACCAAAAGAGATTTCTCAGGCAAATCCAACCATGCTGGGATTCTGCTCTCTGACTTCCAGCCTCTGTAATTGTGAGAAAATAAATTTCTGTTGTTTAAG